>NC_000001.11:51675047-51826562 GCF_000001405.40 Homo sapiens
TAGCCAAACCCTATAGCCTAGGTGTGTAGTAGGCTTTACCATCTAGGTTCATGTACTGATGTTGGCACAGTGATGAAATTGCCTAATGATGCATTTCTCACGACACATCTCTCAGAACAGATTCCAGTCATTAAGCAGTGCATAACTGTAAATGAGTGAAGAGTATGGCTGTGTAAAGACTAGCAAGTTGGAGAGGTCACACCCTGTGTAAAGGGATAGCTGCCACTTAGTTCCAGACAGTTGTAGGCTTGGAATGTTTGCCCATTGTTGTCAGATCATCCTTTTTTTTCCAAGAGAAGCCAGAAATTAATTAATTAATTAATTTATTTATTTATTTATTTTTTGTGAATGGGGTTGAGTGTGTGTGTGTGTGTGTGAACTCTCCAGTTTTAGGAACAATTTTTTATGTAGACCGAATAAAATGCATCTATGGGCTAGATAAAACCTTTGGATTTTTAGTCTTTGATTAAAGCCATGGTAGTCTTGAGTGTTATCCTTCTGGAAGATCAGAGTGAGAAGAGAGCTGATGATTAAACCTTGGATCATACTAGGGTGGAACTGCTAACAGGCTCAGAGGAATGATCAGAGAGTTTAGGATGAAAGCTGTTAGCTTCAACCACATGAAATTACTGTTTTTAATAGGTGAAAAGTAGTTGCACATTAGCTGTTCATATGGCTCAATCTAATAGAAGACTAGTTCTTACTAATAATTCGAAAAAAACTAATTATTTGAATTTTACCTTCAAATAAAATTTTATCTGTTTAATGATTTAATATCATTCATAATGTTACTGACAATATATTGGGATAATAATAATAATGGTTAACATTTATTGAATGTTTATTTTATGAGTTTTAACTGAATAGTGCCTACCATAAAATAAACATTTTAACTCATGCAGTTTTCACAACCTTATGAAGTAGGTACTGTTATACTATTAGTGTTTTTATTTTATTGATTAGAAAACTGGGAGCCACAGACACATAGCTAATATAAGACAGAACTGAAATTTGAACACAAACAATTGTACCCTAGAGCCATTTTCCTCTTCATTGTTATAAAATATATTGTAGAGATTTGTCAACTAGTTTATAATTAACATTTATCAGAAAAGGAATTAAGAGGCCGGGCACTTTGGGAGACCGAGGTGGTGGGTGGATCACTTCAGACCAGGAGTTTGAGACCAGCCTGGCCAATATGGTGAAACCCCGTCTCTACTACAAATACAAAAAATTAGCCAGGGATGGTGGTGCGTGCTGTAGTCGCAGCTACTCAGGAGGCTAAGGCTGGAGAATTGCTTGAACTCGGGAGTCGGAAGTTGTAGTGAGCCGAGATCCCACCATTGCACCCCCGCCTGGACAACACAGTGAGATGCCTTCTCAAAAAAAAACGGAATTAATATAAAATAAGAAACTTTAAATTACAGTGCAGTTTAATGCAATTAAAAAATTTGACGCTAATTAGCCGGGAGTGGTGGTGATGTGCCTGTAATCCCAGCTACTTGGGAGGCTGAGGTGGGAGGATGACTTGAACTCAGGAGGCAAAGATTTCAGTGAGCCGAGATCGCGCCACTGCACTCCAGCCTGGCCGACAGAGCAAGACTCCATCTAAAAAAAAAAAAAAAAAAAAAATTGACAATGACTGCAAAAATGATAATTATGTAAAGTGACACATTTGTTAATTGGCTAGTTCAAACCATTCCACAATGTATGTATACTTCAAAATATGTTGTACATGATAAATACAATTTTAAAAAATGACAAAAAAACCCAATTGGGCATTGTTAATGTTCTACATGTTCCATTACTTCGTAGAAATATTAGTGGCGGTGTTGGTGTTTGTGGTAGTGGTAAAAACTACTATTGCTACTACCAAATATCTGTTATGAACCAGGCACTGTATAACAGGCACTGTACATTACTTACATAATTCCTAAATTCCACAGCCTGTGAGATAGCTTTATGTCTAGTTTTAGAGTTAGAGTAACTGAGTTTCAGAGAAGCTAAGTGGCAGAGCCAAGATTCGTGCACATGTTGGTCTACATCAGGGATTCTTAAAGTGTGGTTCTCGAATAGAGGGTCAGCATCACCTGGGAACTTGTTAGAAATGCAGATTCTTGCGCTCTGCCCCTCACTTGCTGAATCAGAAACTTTGGGAATGGGCCCGCTCTAGTGATTCTGATGCACTCTTAAGTTTGAGAACCACAGGTCTGGATCCAATGGTTAAACATGTTATTCCAATTTACTCTCATAACAACCACTTACACATAAGAAGGAATTGTCCTCAATTTGTAGATAAAGAGAAGTGAGACACAGAGTTAAGTGACTTGCCCTTGATTTTGGATTGTCTGTATGTCCTAACCTATATATTAGGCATGTCTTGCCTTAAGCAAATCTGATGTGTGAAAAATCAAATAAAATTTTAAAGATAAAAATTAAGGGTATGTATGTGATTAGTTTTCCATAAAATAATCCTTCATTTTCAAAGGACTTTACGGAAAACTTTTTTTTTTTTTTGAGACGGAGTCTCGCCCAGGCTTGTCGCCCAGGCTGGAGTGCAGTGGCACAACAACAGCTCACTGTAACCTCCGCCTACCGGGTTCAAGCAGTTCCCTGCCTCAGCCTCCCAAGTAGCTGGGATTAGAGGCATCCACCACCACTCTCGGCTAATTTTTGTATTTTTGGTAGAGACGGGGTTTCACCATATTGTCCAGGCTGGTCTTGAACTCTGGACCTTGTGATCCACCCGCCTCGGCCTCCCAAAGTGCTGGGATTACAGATGTGAGCCACTGTGCCTGGCTACAGAGAACATTTTTTAAGCAGTGTGTTCTCAAAAATAATTTCAGCTGGGCACAGCGGCTCACACCCGTAATCCCAGCTCTTTGGGAGGCTGAGGTGGGAGGATGGCTTGAGGCCAAGACTTAGAGACCAGCCTAGGCAATATAGTGAGGTCCTGTCTCTACAAAAAAAAAAAATGAAAAAACTCCCCTGAGCATGGTGGCGTGTGTGCCTGTAGTCCCAGCTACTCTGAAAGCTGAGGCAGATGAGTCCCTTGAGTTTGGGAGTTTAAGGCTGCAGTGAGCTAGGATCACACCACTGCACTTCAGCCTGGGTGACACAGTGAGACCCTGCCTCAAAAAAATAAAAATACGTTTTAGTATGAAATTGGTTTACAAATTTATTTGAATATACTTTCAAAGCAATACAAGTTGCCTAAGACAAAAGACATAATTTTTAAGCATTAAAAAATGTAATGTAAGTCTTAGTAGAAGTTATCTATGGTTGGTTTCACCTCAGTTCATTAGAGCTTGCTTATTTATTAAAATGCAGTGGCCGGGTGCAGTGGCTCATGCCTGTAATTTCAGCACTTTGGGAGGCCAAGGCGGGCGGATCATCTGAGGTCAGGAGTTTGAGACCAGCCTGGCCAACATGGGGAAACCCCGTCTCTACTAAAAATGCAAAAATAGGCCGGGCATGGTGACGCATGCCTGTAATCCCAGCTACTCGGTAGGCTGAGGCGGGAGAATCGTTTGAACCTGGGAGGCAGAGGTTGCAGTGAGCCGAGATCATGCCACTGCACTCCAGCCTGGGCGACAGAGCAAGACTCTGTCTCCAAAAATAAATAAATAAATAAATGCAGAATTACTACAAATAAACCAGTTGTTGATGTTATGGTGAAGGAAAGTGTTTAATTCAGAGAAGTTATATTGATCAAGTATATTATGGCAACATCAGTGCTACTGCATTAACATCAATCAATTTAGCAAGGCATATCTGCATCATTAATCATTTAGTAAATTATAAGACTAAACCATGGTTGCAGGCTTAAAGATCTTCTGCTATCTCAACACTATCACTAGTAAACAGAGGCCATTATCAGTAGGACTGTTGACTTTAAAAAATTTCCCTCTGTTGTTTCATATTTTTGATTTTCATGTGATAATTATTCTCCAAAATGAAACCAAATAATAAGATATTTCCACACTTTATGTAAGGGAAATAAATCAGTTATAACTAATTTTCTAATTAGATTTTATCATTTCAATAGGTGTTAGTAGGGAAATCTACTGAATTCGTGTATTGGGAGTTTGTTGTATTATTGAGGAGGGTCGGACTTCACTGATGTACTTTTCTTCTTCTTTATTTGCTTTCTGTACAAGATCCTCCCTAAATATTTGAAATTATAATCTTTCCAGGTTTAACTAATTAGGGACTGTTTGGCTTAATAGCTAGCAAGGTTAGAGAGGATAGTTTTATTTTTTGTTAATAATTTTATTCCAACATCCTGTTTTCCATAATTTCTAAGTAGTAAAATTAATACTTGCTCACTTTAGAAATTTGGGAAAAGTATAAAGTAGTATAAAGATGATACTAATAATCATTCATAATCCTACCACTTGAAGATAATTGTTAGTAACATGGTTGTGTATTTCCTTCTGATCCTTCAGTTGTTTACAGTAATCCCCTCTTACCTGAGGTTTCACTTTACACAGTTTCAGTTACCTGTGGTCAGCTGTGGTCTGAACATATTCAATAGAAAACTCCAGAAATAAACAATTGATAAGTTTTAAATTGCACACTCTTCTGCTCCATCCCACTTGGGTGTGAATCATCCTTTTGTCCCATGTATCTATGGTGATGATGGTACCTGCCCATTAGTCACTTACTAAGTAGGCTTCTGGGTATCAGATTTACTGTTGCAGTGTACTGCAATGTTTGTGTTCAAGTAGCCCTTATTTTATTTAATAATGGTGCCAGAGCTCTAGAGTAGTGATGCTGGCATATTGTTATAATTGTTCTATTTTATTATTAGTTGTTAATCTTACTGTGCCTTATTTATAAGTTAAACTTTATTATAGGCAAGTATGTAATAGGAAAAAATATATAGTATATATAGGGTTCAATACTATCCACAGTTTCAGGCATCCACAGGGGGTCTTCCTATGATAAAGGGGGACTATTCTGTATGTGTATGAATGTGTGCGTGTTATAAAATTGAGTCATTCTGCCAGCCTGGCCAACATGGCGAAACCCCCTCTCCACTAAAAATACAAAAATTAGCCATGTGTCGTGGCTTGCGACTGTAGTACCACCTCCTCGGGAGGCTGAGGCTGGTAGAACCACTTGAACCCGGGAGGCAGAGGTTGCAGTGAGCCAAGATCTTGTCACTGCACTCCAGCCTGGGCAACAGAGTGAGAGACCATCTTAAAAAAAAAAAATTTTGAGTCATTCTGTATAAATAGGTTATCCAGATTTTCAGTTCTAAGTATTATGTCATGATCCTTTCCCCATGACACTGAATGTTCTAAGAAAACATGATTTTTGGCTAGGGGTGATAGCTCACGCCTGTAATCCCAGCACTTTGCAAGGCCAAGGCGGGGTAGATCACTTGATCCCAGGAGTTTGAGACCAGCCTAGCCAACATGGTGAAACCCTGTCTCTACTAAAAAAAAAGAAAAAAAAATTTAGCTGACGTGGTGGTACGTGCCTGTAGTCCCAGCTACTAGGGAGGTTGAGGTGGGAGAATCACTTGAACTCGGGGGGCGGAGGTTGCAGTGAGCTGAGATTGCACTGCTGCACTCCAGCCTGGGTGACAGAGTGAGACCCTGTCTCAAAAAAAACAAAAAAAAACCATGATTTGTAAAAGTTGCATAATATTTCATTTTATAAATAATATATTTAGCCACTCATCTGTATTGTACACATTTTTCTCCATTTTCTCCATTTGGTTAATCTTTAACCAAATCTCTGGTTAACTAAGGATACTTAGATTCATAAAAGAATTTGTCAGAACTAAAAGCATAAATATTTTTAATATTTCTGAAACAGTCTTGCCCAATTGCGTTTACTCTTCTGTTTTCATCACACCCCTCATCAGCACTTAGTATTATAATTTTAAAGGCATGCCAACTCAATGTCACTGCAAAAATATATTTTGATGTGTTTGTTTACTTGTTTACTCCTTTGACCATTTTTTTGTTGTTGTTCATCTTTTTTTATATCCTCCTTTTTTGAAAGTAAAAGGAAACAGACTTATTCATTAACGCTATTTATTATTTCAGAAATTGCTGATATATTTAATAATGTTTTTTCAGTTTGGAATACATTGCTTGGTAGGTATTAGTGTGAGGAGTAGATTAAGATATATAGACAAAAGCATTTCCCTACCTTTGTATATAATGTACCTGAAAAAAATGCATGGAAGTAGGCTGTGTGAGTTGAACAAAGACTTGCATGGTATAGGAGGGTATATTCTTACCACATACTATAAAGTCCTTAATGACATTTTGCCTTTTAGAGAAAATATTTATTCATAAGATTTATTTACACATTTTATTCCTTTCCTTCAAAAATGAACATATAGGCAACGGACCAGAGTCTGATGGGCCAAATTCTATGGATTGTCCCATTGATAAATATTTACTGTTTTCAGCATTCTTAATGATTTCTCGGTTGTATTATGTTTATTAAACTTATGTTTATTATTATTCCCATTGCCATTTTAATTTTTCTGTTTTTCTACTAATTAAAGTAATGATAGTACAGCCATTTATGGAAAACAGGATGCAGGTTTCTCAAAAAACTAAAAATTGAACTGCCATATGATCCAGCAATTCCACTACTGAGTATAAGGTTGCCCCTCAGTATCTGTGGGGAATTGGTTCCAGGACCCCCACTCCCCACCCCCAGTACCAAAATCGCAGATGCCCACACCCCTTATATAAAATGGCACAGTATTTGCATAAACCTGTGCCTATTCTCCTATATACTTTAAACCATCAATAGATTTCTAGATTACTTAAAGTACCTAATAGAGCACAAATGCTGTGTAAATAGTTATCATACTATACTTTTAAAATTTGTATTATTTTGGCTGGGCGTGGTGACTCACGCCTGTAATCCCAGCACTTTGGGAGGCTGATGTGGGCAGATCACCTGAGGTCAGGAGTTCGAAACCAGCCTGGGCAACATGGCAAAACCCTGTCTCTACCAAAAATACAAAAATTAGCCAGGCATGGTGGTGGGCATCTGTAATTCCAGCTACTCGGGAGGCTGAAGCAGGAGAATTTTGCTTGAACCCGGGAGGCAGAGGTTGCAGTGAGCCAAGATCACGCCACTGCATTCCAGCCTGGGCGACAGAGCAAGACTCCGTCTCAAAAAAAAAATTACATTATTTTTACTGTTGTATTATTATTTTTAATTGTTTCTTTTTAAAAATATTTTTAATCTTTAATTGGTTGAATCCACGGATGCAGAACCTGCAGATACAGAGGGCCAACATACATCCAAAGGAAATGAAATCAGTATGTTGAGGAGATATGTAACGCACTCCCCGCATTCACTCATTCACTGTAGCATTATTCACAGTTGCCAAGATATGGAGTCACCCTAATTGTCCATCAGTAGATGAACAGATAAAGAAAATGTGTGGCCGGGTGCGGTGTCTCACACCTGTAATCCCAGCACTTTGGGAGGCCGAGGCAGGCAGATCACGAGGTCAGGAGTTTGAGACCAGCCAGACCAACATGGTGAAACCCCATCTCTACTAAAAATACAAAAATTAGCCAGGCCTGGTGGCGCGCGCCTATAATCCCAGCTACTCAGGAGGCTGAGGCAGGAGATCGCTCGAACCCAGGAGGGGGAAGTTGTAGTGAGCCGAGATCACACCATTGCACTCCAGCCTGGGCAACAGAGCGAGACTCCATCTCAAAAAAAGAAAAAGAAAAGAAAATGTGTATATATACACAATGGAATACTCTTCAACTTTATTTTCCTTTCTAATTTTTTTTTTTTTTTTGGCTAGGAGCAGTGTGTTGAGACCAGTTTTTTGTTTGTTTGTTTTTTTGAGACAGAGTCTTGCTCCTGTTGCCCATGCTAGAGTGCAATGGCATGATCTTGGTTCACTGCAGCCTCCGCCTCCCAGGTTCAAGCAATTCTCCTACCTTAGCCTCCCGAGTAGCTAGGATTACAGGTGTCTGCCACCATGCCTGGCTTATTTTTGTATTTTTAGTAGAGATGGGGTTTTGCCACGTTGGCCAGGCTGGTCTTGAACTCCTGACCTCATGATCCGCCCGCCTCTGCCTCCCAAAGTGCTGGGACTACAGGCGTGAACCACCATGCCCAGTTGAGACCAGGTTTTTCTTTTTTTTGAGATGGAGTTTCGCTCTTGTTGCCCAGGCTGGAGTGCAATGGTGCGATCTCGGCTCACCGCAACCTCCATCTCCCGAGTTCAAGCGATTCTCCTGCCTCGGCCTCCAGAGTAGCTGCGATTACAGACATGCACCACTATGCCCAGCTAACTTTGTATTTTTGGTAGAGACAAGGTTTCTCCTTGTTGGTCAGGCTGGTCTCGAACTGCTGACCTTAGGTGATCCACCCACCTCAGCCTCCCAAAGTGCTGGCATTACAGGCATGAGCCACTGTGCCCAGCCGAGACCAAGTTTTCAAAAAGAAGGAAATCTTCGCTGGGCTTGGTGGCTCATGCCTGTAATTCCAGTACCTTGGGAAGCTGAGGTGGGCAGATCACCTGAGTCCAGCAGTTCGAGACCAGCCTGGCCAACATGACAAAACCCTGTCTCTACCAAAAATACAAAACTTAGCCAGGCATTGTGACACATGCCTGTAATCGCAGCTACTCAGGAGGCTGAGGCAGGAGAATCCCTTGAACCTGGGAGGTGGAGGTTGCAGTGAGCCAAGATCGCGCCCCTGCTCTCCAACCTGGGCGACAGAGCAAGACTCTGTCTCAAAAAAAAAAGGAAATTTTGTTATTTGTGATAAAATGGATGAACCTGAAGGACATTATTCATTTAAATGTATAAACTTTAAAAATTGAACTTATAGTAGCAGAGAGTAGAATGGTGGTTACCAGGAGCTGGAGGCAGTGAATGTTGGGGAGATGTTGGTCAAAGGGTACAAAGTTTCAGTTAGACAGGAGGAATCAGTTCAAGAAGTCTTATTTATTTATTTATTTTTTGAGACAGGGTCTTGCTGTGTCACCGAGGCTAGAGAGCAGTGGCACAATCATACCTCACTGTAACCCCCAACACCTGGCCTCAAGTGATCTTTCCACCTCAGAGTCCTGAGTAGCTAGGACTGCAGGCACTCACTCCCATGCCCAACTAATTTATTTATTTTTTATTTGGTAGAGACAGGGTCTCACTATGTTGCCTAGGCTGGTCTCGAACTCCTGGCCTCAAGTGATTCTCCTACTTTGGCCTCCCAAAGTGCTGGGAATACAGGTCCGAGCCATGAAGAGATCTGTTATACCACATGGTGACAATAATTAATAACAATGTACTGTATTCTTGCAAATTGCTAAGAAAGTAGATTTTAAGTGTTCTCATCATGAAAAAATAAGTATGTGAGGTAATATTTGTGTTAACTGGCTTGATGGAGCCATTCCACAATGTACATATTTCAAGATAACATGTTATACATGATAAATATATAAAATTTGTATTTGTCAATTAAGAAAAAAAGTTTATTTATTTATTTGTTTTTGAGGTGGAGTCTTGCTCTGTCGCCCAGGCTGGAGTGCAGTGGCATGATCTTGGCTCACTGCAACCTCTGCCTTCCGGGTTCAAGTGATTCTCCTGCCTTAGCCTCCCCAGTAGCTGGGATTACAGGTGCTCACCAGCACACCTGGCTAATTTTTCTTTAATTTTTAGTAGAGACAGGGTTTTACCATGTTGACCAGGCTGGTCTCGAACTCCTGACCTCAAATGATCTGCCCACCTCGGCCTCCCAAAGTGTTGGGATTATAGGCGTGAGCCACCGCGCCTGGCCAAGAAAACAGTTTTTAAAAAAGAATGTTTGAATAGGATACAAAATATATTCAAATAGTTGCCTGAACACTGCTCTTCTTCTTTTTTTTTTTTTTTTGCAAGAGAATCTAGCTCTGTCACCCAGGCTGGAATGCAGTGGCAGGATCATAGCTCACTGTGGCCTTGAACTCCTGGCTCAAGTTATCCTCCTACTTCAGCCCTACAGCCCTTCCCTAGGCAGTCCTTCGCTTCTAGAAAATACCAGTACTCAATTTATTCCCTTCTTTTCATACATTCATTTTTTTCTAAAGAAATATTTGAGTGTTTATTGTATCCCAGGCATTAAGTTAGTTTCTGAGTATAAAGGGTGAGCAAAGCAACATGCCTAATACCAAGGTTTTTGCATTTTGAAAACCATCCTAGAAGAGGCTTCCTGGTTGCACACAATTTCAGGCAGTTCTCAGACCCAGGTTAAATATCTCTAAGTTAAAGCTATAGTAATTCTGGTAATGCGTAGACTGCACTCACTCACCCTTGTTTTTACTTTTAGACTGCCAACTGGTAAATTCTCCAAGAAAATGCTTACTTCTACCATGATAATCTTTTTTTTTTTTGAGATGGCATCTCACTCTGTCACTCAGGCTGGAGTATAGTGGCATGATCTTGGCTCACTGCAACCTCCACCTCCAGGGTTCAAGCGATTCTCCTGCCTTAGCCTCCCAAGTAGCTGGGATTATAGGCGCGCCACCACACCGTCTAATTTTTTTGTAGAGACGAGGTTTTGCCATGTTGGCCAGGCTGGTCTCGAACTCCTGACCTCAAGTTATCTGCCCGCCTTGGCCTCCCAAAGTGCCGGGATTACAGGCGTGATTCACTGCACCCGGCCCCTACTATGATTATCTTTGTCTTTTGAACCTCCTCCATTAACCTCTTACAAAAGACCTCTACAAGGCATTCATTCTTAGGATCATGGTGCTTTCATTAATGTATTCCACATGTAACACTGATACAGCGTATAGATTAAAGTTAAATTTTATCATTAGATTTTCTTAATATTAAATTTGGGACCATAAGAGAGTTTGAATACCCAGGAAAAAAGAAATCGAGTTCAAATAAATATAAGAAAGTCTCTATCTTTGCCAGGGGACCTCTGCTTTAGGTAACTGCCCAGTGGGAGGAATCAGGGGATCAAATAAAAGAAAATTGAACTGGTCCTTGAATATGGATGATTTAAATCAAGTGGAGATGGGTGTCAGTGGGAATTTTTCTTGGAGGGGATGATTGTAAATTTTTTCTGGAGAAGATTATTATGATATAGAAGTGAGCCTCTGGTGCATAAAAATGGGGTGCAGAGGATGCAAATGCTTACTTCGGGTTCAGTTAACGTGCAGGGAGTATAATTCTCCTAGGTACCTCACACATACTTAAAAAGTAGGTATTTTTATTCTCATTTTATAGATAAGGAAACTGAGGCTTGTGTAAGTTTTTATTCCATGTCACACATGTAGGAAGTGGCAGAGCCTGGATTCAAACCTATGCTCTTTTCATCACATGGTGCTGCTTGTTCATGCCTTTCCTTCCTTGTTACTCTTGGCTATACTCATGTCTGTCTCTTTTACCATGGCTTAACCTCTTTGCAGCTCTAGCTTCACTGCTGTTCTCTCTCCTAAACAGCATAGCATCCTTCCTACACTGACTGTATTAGCAATGTTTTCATGCTGTCAGGTGGTTTTGGTTGTCACGTTTCTCCTGTGCTTAGTGTATATCCATGTTGATGCTTGTCACTGGGCAGGGACCCAGCTGAGGCAAAGGAACTGGGGCATTGGTTGGAAAAGATGGGCTTGAGTCATGGCATGAGGCATAAGATGATCAAGTCTGTTACCAGGTGTGTGGGAGGTTTGGAAACCTGGCCAGAGAAAGGCCTAGGGATGCTCCCCGTATGGATTTAAGGGTCAGGGAGTCAAACATTAACCTGTACCCAATTTAATTTTAATCCTGTTCTAACACACAGTTCTCTTACTGTGTCAACTGAGGGAGTATTCCCAGATTGTTGAAGGAAACAAACCAATATGTTTTCTCATATTTACTCCTTCTTTGCAGAAGTCCTGCTTTCCAAAGAAGACTGAATGTAGAGCATGAGGTTACCAGTAAAATAAGGATGCCAATGCTGACTCTATAAGTGTTGTGAGATTAGAGAAATGCATATAAATACTCAACATGGTGCCTGGCAAATAGCAGGGCTCGAAACACCTTAGCTGCTGCTGTTACTCTGTATGAATTTACTTGTGATAATGCTGCTGCTGTTTCTGGGATTCCCCATTTCTCCTTTTTCTAGTCTAGGGTTTGGCTTAGTGATAACCCAAAATTGAAAATCCCACACACTGAGGATGGCACAAGGGATACAGAACTGATGGAGTGCTATTCAGGGGGTCTCAGTTTGATAGGAGGAATGACTGATGAGCATAGCAGCTGGTACAGCAGGAACTGTACCAAAGGCTTAAGTACATCTTCTCATTTAATTCTTTTAACAACCCAAAAGATAACTATAAGGAAACTTAAGCACAGGATGCAAAATAACTTATGCATAGTATGTAATTTGGAACAAATAATTACAGTACAACATAAGTGCCATAGAGACCTATGGAAATGTTGAAGAGAAAACTAGTAGAGGCAAGGAAAAGCTTCACAGAAGAGATAATGTTTGATGTGGGTTTTGAAGGATGAAATAGAGGTGGAGATTGGCAAGGCTGGAAGTGGAAAGAAGGATCACTTAGCAACCTGCAGAGAAAGGGGCAGCACATTCTAAGCAAAGGGAACCGTGTATGCACAAGCTTGGAAGTGTGGAAAAGGATGACCTGTTTGAGAAATGTAAGAAGTGTCCTATATTTTAGAATACACGGGAGGTGAGGAGAAGGAGGCTTGAGTTGAGCTGGAACTAGATAGATCATCAAAGATCTCATACACCAGAATGATAGGTTAAAACACCTTTTCTGTAAATTAGGAAAGGGCAATTTTAGTCAGGGAAGCCTCCTCGTCACATTTGTGGCTCAGAGGGAACACTAGGAACCAGAGTGAAGAGAAGTGAGATTGGAGACAAGGAGCCTAGTGTGGAGCTTACTGCAGAGGCTCTGGTGAGAGATGGTGAAGGTTTGAACCAAGGCAGTAACGGTGGTTGCTTTTACTTACACAGGGTACATCCTGATTGTCAATGGATGGACTATGAATGGAACATGACTATTCGAAGTATAAAAATTGACGCTTGACCATGTTCTCTCTGTGGGAGTTTTTAGGTAGCTTACAAAACTTTTGAGGAATTTACATTTTCAACTAATGAGATAAATCAGGGTAATGCCATAAATGCAATGTGCAGTTGAATTTTAGCAATGTGGACAGGTTGGTTCATGGTAGAGAGAAGTGAATCTGAGCCATAGCCTATCTGAAAAGAAATACCTTTTCTAGCTTTATATATAGAAACTAGAACTAAGTTTAACATTGTTGTCTAATATATATTTTTTGGCATGTCATCAAGAATTTCTTGGGCCAGGCATGGTAGCCTATGCCTGTAATCTCAATACTATGGGAGTTTGAGTCAGGAGGATTGCTCAAGCCCAGGAGTTCAAGACCAGCCTAAGCAAAGAGGCGAGATCCTTTTGAAATTACCAGGGCATGGTGTTATGCATCTATAATCCTAGCTACTTGGGAGGCTGAGGTGGGAGGATCACTTGAATCTAGGAGTTCGAGGCTGCTGTGAGCTATGATTGTGTCAGTGCACACCAGCCTGGGCAACAGAGCAAGATCCTGTCTCTAAAAAATAAAAATAAACTAAAAAAATTTTTTAAAAGAATTTTAAAAAAGTTTTTACATTTTGTACTTAATGAATTTGATTTAAGCATAGTGATTTGGTATAAATCATTGTAAGTCCTAAATGTAGGGAGGGCTGAATCAGTGACATTTTACTATATATAGATTGTGTTTTATGAGATGGAGTTAAAGCTTGTGGAGTGTACTTGGATTATGTCTGAGTTTATATTGCAGCCTTGGTCTAGGACTATATGCTCTCTGAAAGAAAGGTGAAGATATTATATTAACAGCTTATGCTAAATATAGAGAAGGGAGGAAGTAGCTTACTGCTAGTTCTTTGCCCTGAGCAGAAGTCCTTGGAAAGCTACTGAGGGCAAAGAGTGAAGCCTTCAGAAAGGTTGTTTACCAGGAATATTATAAGATTATAATGCAGAAATACCTTCACTCTACCTTATACCCTGAAGAAATATTTGCATATTCTTTTTAAGTCTAAAGGGCTTCCTTACCTGCAATGTGTAAGGAATAACATCTGTTTTCAGAAAATTCTCTAAACATTTTATTTATAGTAACATAAATCAGTCATGGTAATTTCTTATAATGTGGTTCTGTTACTCTGTTAGGCCACATCTGTTTTGGCTTTGCTTGCCTTGGAAGCCAACAAAAGAATTCAGTAGCAAATTCTTTTTTCCTATAGATTTATATTTTTGGCCTTGCTTTAGTTTCTTTCCTGAATTTTCTAACAGGCATTTTTTTTTCTTTCTTTCCTTTCATTGACTTACTCAAAAGTTGAATGATGTGTAATATTCTTCCTTTCTGAAACTCTTAGCCTTGGTAATCAATGGGCAGGTATTTTTGAAGTTCTATATTTTCCCTCATGAATTGAGATTTAGCTTTAGCTTCTTCTAATTACCTCCTGTCATTCTTCTTTCTCTTTTCTTCCCCAGAATATGTTAAAGATATATTTTACATTTTGGCTTTCCCTGGAGAAGGAAGGTTAATATTCAATAAAACCTCTTTTAATAAGATTCTTGCAGAGGTCAAGTTTACCAAATTTCAGGATTAGTTGAGTCTGAGACTCTTCCAGCCCCAAATAAAATTTTGGTAACCTACCACCTCCTAATCTGATTTTCTTCCTGTTTTCTCTATGTTATAAAACAGCACTTCATTTACCCAATTAGCCAAATTTGAAGCCTTCTGTTTCCCTAAGTCTACATTCCCTACATTCCTCTCTGTATCTGATGAGTTACCATGTCCATTGGATTCCATCTTTTCTTTATCTCCTGTCAATGACATGACCCAGGTTCATTCTTTCTATAGCTTTTTAAGCTTCCTGTTCTCCCTTTTTCTGGATTCTTTTCTGCCAAAGCAACCTCCTTATTGACATTTGAGTGAATTCTCTAAAACCATCCTATTTCTAACATTTTTGTAGTCCTTTCGGTATTATATTAATGTATCTTAAAGATTAAAAACTCAAATCCTGATTTTTCTAGATTTCAAAATTAAGAAATAATGACCTAAGATTAGGCCTTCTCTGAAGCCTAGAGTTAAAATAGGAAATATTTACTGTAGGAGCTACATTTTTTAGGATATATTTACAGATAAATTTGGTGAGGCTTTCCATTGACTAGTAATAATTTAACTAAGAAGCATGTGATTTTAGAATGAACTGAAAAGAACCCATTAATCTACATTTGGTTTTCATTGTCTGCTTTGAGTGAATCACTGATACCTGGTTGCCCACTACAGTGCTGACTTTGTTCCAGAGACTCACAGCATTGCCTCATATTGTCGAAGTGGAAGTTGTGGGGGAGGAACACTTGTGTAAATATTTGCCTGCATTTTATCTGACAGTTTTGGAGACTTCAGCTAAAACTATTCATAAATTGTTGAAAGATCCAATTGTGGCAGCTTTAAAAGGATCATTAAGCAAAAATAAAGATTTCTTAGGAAATCTAATTTTAGTCTCTAAATATAATAATGGAACCCTGCACTGAATAATAAATTAGTGGATCATCATTCCTCATTCAGCAAATATTTATTGAGCACCTATATGGGTGGCATTATTCTAGGGGCTTGGGATACATCAATATATAAAACAGATAAAGATCCCTGCCTTTGTAGAGCTTATATTTCAGAAGCAGGAGGGAGAAATAAACATGAATAAGTATACAATCATGTGTTGCTTAATGATGGTGATCGGTTCTGGGAAATGCGTCATTAGACAGTTTCATCATTGTGCCAACATCACAGTGTGTACTTACACAAACCTAGATGGGATAGCCTAATGTACACCTAAGCTACATGAGATAGCCTATTGTTCCTAGGCTACAAGCCTGTAGAGTATTACTGAAGTAAATACTGTAGATAGTTGTAACACAATGATAAGTATCTGTGTATTTAAACATAGAAAAGATACAGTAAAAATATAGCATAAAAGATAAAAAATGGTATGCCTGTATAGGGCACTTACCATGAACGGAGCTTGCAGGATTGGAAGTTGCTCTGGGTGAGTCAGTAAGTGAGTGGTGAGTGAATGTGAAGGCCTTGGACATTACTGTGTACCACTGTAGATTTTATAAACACTGTACACTTAGGTTACACTAGATTTATTTAAAAATTTTTTCTTTCTTCAATAATAAACTAACCTTAGCTTGCTGTAACTTTTTTTTTTTTTTTTTTTTTTTTGAGATGGAGTCTCACTCTGTCGCCCAGGCTGGAGTGTGGTGGCATGATCTCGGCTCACTGCAACCTCTGACTCCTGGGTTCAAGCGATTCTCCTGCCTCAGCCTCTTGAGTAACTGGGATTACAGGCGAGCGCCACCATGCCCGGCTAGTTTTTGTATTTTTAGTAGACACGGGGTTTCACTAGCCTAATGTACACCTAAGGCTGGTCTCGAACGCCTGACCTTGTGATCCACCTGCCTCGGCCTCCCAAAGTGCTGGGATTACAGGCTTGAGCCACCGCACCCAGCCATTAGCTTGCTGTAACTTTTTTTACTGGATAAGCTTTTTAATTTTTTTAACTTCATGTCTCTTTTGTAATAATACTTAGCTTAAAACACAAACATATTGTATAGTTATAAAAATATTTTCTTTATATCCTTATTCTCTAAGCTTTTTTCTATTTAAGATTTTTTTTTATGTTTTAAAGTTTGTTTTTTTTTAAATGAAGATACAAACACACACATGATCCTAGGCCTACACAGGGTCAGGAACTTTAATATCACTGTCTTCTGCCTCCACATCTTGTCCCGCTGGAAGGTTTTCAGGGGCAATAACAGGCATAGAGCTATCATCTCCTATGATAACAATACCTTCTTCTGGAATACCTCCTGAAGGACCTGCCTGAGGCTGTTTTACAGCTTTAAAAAATAAATAAATAGAAGGCATACACTCTAAAATAAAGATAAAAAGGCTGAGTGCAGTGGCTCACACTTACAATCCCAGCACTTTGGGAGGCCAGGCAGGAGGATTGCTTGAGTCCACGAGTTTGAGATCAGCCTGGGCAACATAGCGAGACCCTGTGTCTACAAATAATTTTTAAATATTAGCCAGGCGTGGTAGCATGCACCTTGTATTCTCAGCTACTAAGAAGGCTGAGGTGAGAGAATCGCTTGAGCCTGGGAGGTCAGGGCTGCTGCAGTGAGCTCTGATTGTGCCACTGCACTCTAACCTGGGCAACAGAGTAAGACCTCGTCTGAAATAAATAAGTATAAAGTAAAATAATGTTAAAAAGTATAGTATAGTAAATACATAAACCAGTCACATTGTCATTTATTATCATTATCAAGCATTATAACCATACATGTCTGTACATGCCATACTTTTTTATGACTGGCAGAGCAGTAGATTTGTTTACACCAGCATTGCCACAAACGCCCTGCAAAGTTAGGACAGCATCAGGGTGGCTATGTCACTAGGTGATAGGAATTACAATCTTACAGGACCACTGTCATATATGCAATCCCTCCCTCCCTCCTTTTCTTCCTTTTCCTTTCTCTCTCTCCTTCCTTCCTTCCTTCCTTGCCCTCCCTCCCTCCCTTCCTTTCTTTCTTCTTTTTTTTTTTTTTTCCAGGTTCTTGCTATGTCACTCAGGCTGGAGTACAGTGGCATGATCATGGCTCACTGCAGCCTTGATCTCCTGGGCTTAGCAATCCTCCTACCTTACCCTCCCAAAGTGATGGGATTACAGGAGTGAGCCACTGCACCCCGCCTGCAGTCTGTCTTTGACTAAATGTCATTGCAGTCCATGACTGTATATGTTAGAAGGGATAAGTACAATAGAGAAAAGAAAAAGATAGTGCAGGATAATGGGAATTGAGAATGCTCGGTTAGGGGGCCAGGTTTTAGTCTATGCTGTTTAGAAGAGTTCATTGAGAAGATAGCATCTGAAAAGGTGACAAATTATCACTTGTCCTATAATTATGACTACCAATTAGTTGCTAAGAAAATGTCAGGCTCTGAAAATTAAGAAAATATGGATCAGCCTGAGTGTGATGGCTCACCCCTGTAATTCCAACACTTTGAGAGGTAGGAGGATAGGTTGAGCCCAGGATGTCAAGACCAGCCTGGGTAACATACCGAGACCCTGTTTCTACAAAAAATAAAAAAAATTAGCCTGGCATGGCACTTAGCTGTGGTCTCAGCCACTTAGGAGGCTGAAGCAGGAGGGTCGCTTGAGCCCAGGAGGTCAAGGCTGCTGCGAGCCATGTTAGTATCACTGCATTCCAGCCTGGGCAACAGAATCTTTTTTAAGACTGTCTTTAAAAAAAAAAAAAGAGAGAGAGAGAGAAAAGAAAAGAAGAAAATATAGATCAGATTTTATCCCAAACCTCAGGGATAGCTGAGCGAGGGAAGGGAAAAAAATGTAAACAAATTAGAGCATTATAGTGTTGTAGATGCTTTGACAGAAGCATATAGGAGGCGTAGTAAGGCACACAGATCTTTCTAATGTGATCTCACCTCTGTTCTTAATATGATAGCAGTTTATTTAAATAATGACTCAGACTTCGTGGATATCAAAGCATAGGCTTAGATTACTTTAATCTCAGTCATGTGAATTGGTCATTCTCTCTCCTCACCTCTTTTTACCTTTTTAAAAAATACCATCTTAGGTTGAATTAATGTGAGCTGATTTTAATTCTAAAAAATATATATACCATCTGACTACTCAGCATGTCCCAACTTGTTCCAAACTATAGTCAGTTGCATTTTGAACCATCTGATTATCTAAGTGGAATATTTGTATTCAGCATCCATGCTGCTATTCGTAGTGTAACTACCCACAGATACATAATGAGCAAGACACTAAAATGTGCAAGGCATTTTGGAAAATGCCAGAGATACAGCCATGAATAAGGCTGTCAAGCTTCTGCTTTCTAGGAGCTTACATTCTGTTGGAGGAAGCAATCAAGTAAGATATCACATGTATTATATACCAGCAGTTCCCAGACTTTTTGGTCTGAGGATCCTTGTACACTTTTTAATGTTATTTAAGGACTTTAAACAGCTTTTCTTTATGTGGGTTATATTTATTAATTTGCCAGTTTAGAAATTAAAACTGAGGGATTTTGAAAACATGTACTTATTTATTTAAAAATAGCCACAAGAAACCCATTATACTAACATTAATGAGAAAATAATAATTTTCCCAAACAAATAGTGAGAAGAATGGCATCATGTTAGATTTTTGCAATTCTCTTTAACGTCTGACTTAATAGAAGACAGCTGGATTCTCATATCTGCTTATGCATTCAATCTATTATGATGAGTTGTTCGGATTGAAGTATATGAAAATGTAGCCTCAACAGATACGTGGTTAGAAAAGGGAGGAATATTTTAATAGCCTTTTTAGATAACTGCGAATATTCTTTGATACTCACCAAAATTTAAGTGATAGTTACTTAAAGTTTAGTTGCAATGTGAAATCTGAAATTGTATTAATGACGTTATATGAAAATATTTTTATTACATTAAAATCCATTGGTTTGTGTGGCACTTTGAATAGATCTTTTATGCTTTGTATGAGTTTGTAACATCATGCGTTGGTTATTTGAAAATCAAATCGGTTTACTGAATTATATGGATCTTCCAAATATTGACACATTTCATTTTATGACATAAAAAAATTACATTTGTTGATATTGCTCCAAACTAATCAGAAAAGGCTTTAAGTTTTCAGAATCTGTCAAGGTCGTGGTGGCTGGTGAATACATGTTTTCCAAAATTCTAATGTTTGCCTACAAGCTTGAATTTTATAATTGGCAATAAATGTTGTCAATTTTTCCTGAAATGACAAACTCACTTCATTCATTTTCGGGGAAATGTTTGCCAAACACCCGAGAGTGAATAATTTAGTTTGTCATTTGTTCTTTGTAGTAAAAATGATATTCTGTTAACAAAGTGCCCATTAGTTCCCAACTCAGACATTTGCACAAATGCTTTTCCTTGAGATAACCGTTATACTTTAGTGTGTAGCAGAAGTACTTTATATGTGCTTCCCATTTGTCACAGAGACTATGTATTAAATATTTACTCGAGGGTCAAAATTTGATGATGTTTACTGCTTTTCTTCAAGGGCATTCTTAAAAGAAATAGTAATGTTTTATTTTTCCCTGCAAGCATGTAGTGGTAAAGAATTTAGTGACTACCAGTTCTGATTGGTGCCATTGCCTTGATTTGTGCTCGTGTGCCAGCAGTTTTACCACCATTGTTCTTACAGCATCATTGCAAACATGACAAACGCAGATTATGTTTCAGTATTAGTACGAAAATAGTTTTGCACTGAGGACCCCAATCTCGTTGGATTCCCAGTGTTATTACATACCTTATTTCCCCTGATTTTCACAGTGGAACCATGAGGTAGTTGGTGATATTAACCCCTTTTGGACCCAAGTTTCCTGACCAGAGTTTCTGTCGTTCATTCTTTCTGTTTGCTATAATATCTCCAAACTGTGGAAAAGTTTATATTGTTATTCCTTAAGAAGAACTTTGTTCAGCGAAAACAGAATGGGATGGGGTGAGTTTATTTAACGGAACTAGGGGTGTCTGAAGCCTAGAGATTCCATTCTCATTGCTGCTTTTTAGGTGCTATGTCGTTGTGAAATACTAAACTTTTCTGTTTCCTTATTCTAGAAAATAAGGATAATAATAATACCTATCTCATGTAGTTGTTGTGAAAATTTAGTTAATACATGTTATATGCTTAGAACCGTGCTGACACAAATTAAATGCTCAATAGGTTTAGCTTTTATTATTTACAGTTAGAGATGGGGCTCAGGCATTCCAGCTGAGGGAACAACTTGAGCAAAAGCAGAGAATCGTGTCATGTGAACAGTACATACAATCTAACAGAATGTAGTGGTTCATGGAAGAGTATGTGGGAAAGTAAAACCGGGAAGGTAGATTTGGACGCTGATTATTGCTGGACTAGAGCTCTAAACTGTTGATCCAATTTGTGTCCCTAATGCCTAAGACAATGACTGGTACATGGTGTATGTATTTATATATTGCCTGAGCATTGGAATATTTGAATAAATTTAAGGAAGGAGAGAGCAGCTGCTCTCACCATGAGCAACATAGGTGGAGAAAGTGACATTGTAGCGTAGCCCAGAAGAGTGAATAGAATTCTAGTAAGCAAAGATATTAGAGGTGTGAGACAAAGCAGCAAATTTAAGAAAATGAGAATGTTTGATGTTTGCTTGTTCTACTTGCCAGAATTTCACAAAATCCCTTGCCAACAAAATTTCACAAAGGCCCTGACTCAGTGACTGAGCACAGTCCTCTAAAAACAACAACAACAACAACAACAAAAAGCCCTAAAGACAATAAATAAGATAGAACACAGTTTCCCACATCTCCAGCTTAAATCACTGCATTTTTAGAAAAGGCAAGTTCAGTGATTCTAGTCGTTGCCTCTTTCTGCACGTAAGATAATGTCCAACAAGATTAGTGATTATGCCTCCGTAATATATAACCAGATATGCCCTTACACCCAAACTTTAATGAGATTTTGCTCTACTATAACTTACAAGCACATACAAAACTGCCACCACCAATTTATAAACTGTGTCTAAAACCCTACTTTGAAACAGTCTAACAAAAATTCTCTAAAAGACTCTCCTAGGTAACAGTCCTCAGTAAGACTTCTAAATAAAACTAACTTTAATTCTTTAAAAGCTCCCCTGTCCCGTTTTTTTTTATTTTTTATTTTTATCTTTTTTGCTTAGTTGACAGAGGCTGATAGAATGGGTGAAGATAGTTGGGATATAGGCTCATGCCTATAATCCCAGCTGCTTGGGAGGCTTAGGCAGGAGGATCCCTTGAGGCCAAGAGTTCAAGACCAGCTGAGCAACATAGCAAGACCCAGCCCCACACCCATCTCTAAAAGAATAAAAAATTAGCTGGGCGTAGTGGCTTGTGCCTGTGGTCCTAACTACTTGGGAGATTGAAGCAGGAGGATCGCCTGAGCTGAGGAATTTGAGGTTGTAATAAGCTATGATCATGCCACTGCTCTCCAGCCTGGGCAACAGAGTGAGACCGTATTTCTCAAAAAAAGAAAAAAAAAAGAAAGAAAAAAGAAAAAAGCGTGAAGATAATACCTCACCAAACGATATACTACCCACCCAAGTTATTGTACTTTTCAGGAGACTTAATTACTTGAGATCATGAATTGTTTTATCCTTGCTCATATACCAAACATAGTACCCCGTGCATATTGGGGCTCAGTAGCTACCTGAGCAGTGTCTCAGCAGTTAATCTTGTAAATGTGGTTTTTGTGTAATGTTTTTATTTCACAATAACTTTCAGAGAAAAGGAGGCCTTCCTGATTATAGGGGTTACTTTTTTTTTTTTTTTTTTTTTTTACTTAAATTGCAGAACAGGCAAATAACCACTTTATTTTGTATACAGGCAGTAATATATTCACAGTTGTTTGTGTCTTAAAGGAGAAGATATGACTTTAGGAGGACAGATTCCTAAGCAGTGGATCAGGAATGGTAAGGTATAGGAGTTTTAGAAAGTTGTCCTAAAAGCTACTTCTTGTAGTTTAGGTTGTGTGAGTTACGCTGGAAGAGTGAAATCTTTTGAATAACTTCATATTCTTATTCAAATGTGTATAATATAGAAAATGTGATTAGATATGTAATAAATGAGCAAAGATGATAAAATCCTGAAAATGTATTCTACATACTAGATAAATACTGTTTTCCTCTGTGCACCTTATATTGTTTCCATATAAACCAGGCATTATTGAGAATTAGGAGTTACCAGTAATCTCCTCTCTACTAATTTTCTCTGGCAAATTGTTCTCTGGATTAGTAGAACTAGTTTTCTCTGTTGGATTGATAGAACATGTGATAATAATAACATATTGGTATTTTCATGTATGTCAGGCATCGTGGTAAATATTGTACAGATTATCTCATTTAAATCTCACAACCTTATAAGGCCGAGGTACTGTTACCATCCCCATAGGTAATATTATCATCCTTAGATTATAGATGAGAAAAGTAAAGCTTAGAGAATTTAAGTATCTTGCCCAAGGTCAGAATGAATAAGGTCAAAGCTAGGTATCAGACGAGGATTTGGACCCAAGAGTCAGCCCTCTTGGCCTTTACACTGTGCAGCTTAAGAGATACTAAAAAGCAACAGCTTTGTGGGACATTGGGGTGGCTTAGAGTAGTGTTTTCTGAACTGGATTGCAGTCCATTAATGGATTATAAAGGTCTATTTAGTGGGCCCAAATCAGCATTTTAAAAAAATGAATTACAACAGACAGAAAAATATCAATGTGTATGGCATATAATAAGAGCAAGCACTCTTTTATGAAACGAATGTTCCAGTTTATATGTATATGTGTATGTACACATATGTACACATATGTGTGCATATGTATGTATGAACTGGCTGAAGTTATCAAATGTACTTCTTATTGTGGGTCGCAGTCAAACAAAATTTGGAGCCCACTGGCTTAGAGGATGGAAAGCAAGCTGGAAAATATAATGAATAGCAGTGGTAGCTGCTAGAGAAGAAAGTCTAGAGATAAGCTGAATGTACAAATAACATTATTTAAAAAAGGGAAGAGGAGTTAACTTTATATATTTGATAAAATACTGTAGTACTCAAAGTTGTTTTAACTAGCTCATTAAGTTAGACCCTTTGCAGGATTCACTCAGAATTAGTATAGCTTTAATTTTACTTCTAGAGAGTTGGCTCTGCAGGTGGTTTTGAATTGTGTATATCATTACTGTATTTTTATTTCTCATATGAACAATTTGTTGTGATTGAATAATAACCAGACATCTCTGGTGCTTCATAGACACAAAGCCCTTTTTTCTATTAGATCCATTAGAGTAGAGGTTTGTTTACTGACATGCTAGGAGAATGGGAGAAGGTAGATTAGATTGGTCAGAATAATATTGACTCTTGAATTTTCAGCTGGAAGGGAGAATTCAGTTCAACTTCCAATTTTAAGGTGCAAAATGAATATTCATTTTTTTGAGACTATCATAAAACAGCACAAAAATACATATTCAGACAATGCAAGTGGCTTATTAAAGTCAACACTAGAAAGAAGTAGCAAAGCTACATGTATACATTAGTCCTGCTCCTGCTCCTGTATAGTAATTTTCCCTCTTTTTTTGTATAGTATACTAATTTGCCCTCGTTTGCTTAGTCTGTCTTTTTTACCTGGAATGTCTTCCCTGTCAGTGCCCCTCTCCTTCTCCACATACCCCCACTTTTTTCTTTCTCTCTCTCTCCCTCTCACCCAGACACACACATATACACTCACATACCTTTGCCTCTAATTTCTACTCAGTTTTAAAACTCAGCTTTAATTTCCTTGCCTCAGAAGCTTTCCCTGAGTTCGCCTTTACAAACACAAATGTCTTTATTTATTTTGATGCTCAAATTGTCCTCAATTTGACCAGAGGAATCCTATTTAAGCTGACCTCTGTGTCCTTTTAACATGCCCCTGTCATTCTTTAAGTATTTCCTTACTTTCTGGCACAAAAAGACATTCCAGGCTCATTTTATACCTTCTCTGTCCTAGTTCTGGAATCAACCATTTTTCCAGGGAGTGCTGATTTCTAATGATATTTAGAAATCAACACCCAGTGCTAGGTGTAGTTACTGCTTATAAAGTGTTATGGCTCCCAGGCCCTCTAGAGAGCTAAGAAACATATGAATGTTATGTACATAGAGCTAAGAAACATGAATGTTACATACATAGGGGTGTGCTTGTGTCTACACATGTGTACATCCATGTTCATATTTATTTCCATATGTATTTATCTACATGTATATCGAAAACCATGATGAGGTCATGCTGATACCTCCAGTTACAGTCTATCACAACAGAAATAATTCTGTTTTTTCCCTTACCATATTTAACTCCGTTTTCCAAAAGTGAGAAAAACTTTATCTTTGTTGTATTTACTTATTTGATCAATCCTTCTGTATGTAATTATTTTCCAATCATCCATGTCCTTTTGTAAATGTCACCATCACTCCATTCAGCCTTGGAAACCTTGTGCCATGCGGAGCCTGTTCACTGCAATGTGGACACCTTCCTTCTTTTTCTTGGGTTCTGACTCCTCATATTGGACTTTCCCATTGTATAGCTTCCCTCTTCCTCTTGCTTTGGGCTCTCATGCCCTGTGCTAGGTTGTGCCTTTACATGATGCATGCCCTCTTCACCCTACTCAGGCTCTAATGTCCTGAGCCAGATCTCCCACCCATTTGGTACAGTACTTTTAACTAAACTACAGAGCTCATTTGAATTTTCCCTCTAATGCTCCTTTTCTGTTCCAGGATTCAATCCAGGATGCCACATTGCTTTTAGTTGTAATAGTTCTTTATTTGTTTTTTATCTTTCATGACCTTGACATTTTTTATGAGTATTGGTCAGTTATTTTGTAGAATGTCTCTCATTTTGGATTTATCTGATATGTTCTCATGATTCGATTGCAATTATGTATTTTTGGCAAGAATACCACAAACATGATGCTGTTGTTTCCTTGTCTCAGTGGATTGTATTCAGAGGTATAGGATGTCAATTAATCTTATTAACTGGTGATGTTAACCTTGATCACTTGATTAAGATAGTGTACCAGATTTTTCCATTGTAAAATTATTATTTATTCATTTGGGGGAGATACTTTATTCTCTTGTGGGAGATACTTTGAATCTATGCCAATTTCCTGTTTCTTCTCACTTTTGCCCATTGATTTTAGCCATTAGTGGATCTTGCCTGATGTAATTATTGCTGTGGTGTTGGTCTAATGGTGATTTTTAACTTTTGTCAGTCCTTCTACACTTATTCATTGTAATTTTTTTTTTTTGAGATGGAGTCTCCCTGTTGTCACCTGGACTGGAGTGCAATGGCACAATCTCGGCTCACTGCAACCTCTGCCTCCCCAGTTCCAGCAATTCTTCTGCCTCAGCCTCCCAAGTAGCTGAGATTACAGGCACCCACCACCACGCCTGACTAATTTTTGTATTTTTAGTAGAGACGAGGTTTCACCATATTGGCCAGGCTGGTCTCAAACTCCTGACCTCAGGTGATCCACCCGCCTCGGCCACCCAAAGTGATGGGATTACAGGCGTGAGCCACCGCGCCCGGCCCATTGTAATTCTTCTAAAGGAAGAGATGTCTCATCTCCCCTACTTATTTACTTATTCAATTATTTTATATTAATATTGGACTTGTGGATATTTATTATATTCTATGGGTTATAGTCCAGTACTCTGTGAATTTATTTACCTAAAATCATGAGTTCATACTGAAACCTCCGATTGTAGTTCAACATCACAAGGTTTATTCTAACCTTCTCCCTTTCTGTATTTCTAATTTTTTTCTGATAGTAAGAAACCTGGTTCTCATTATCTATAACATACTCACTTGTCTGTAGTTACAGAATTGCTAACATGTACTCCTATGAAAATCAAATTTACTAACTAGAGTATTGTATTTGTATATGGTTCTTTTTTTTTGGCCTATCCTTTCACTATATAGTCAAAATACTGGTTTTTTTTGTTTTTTTTTTATACTTTTAAGTTTTAGGGTACATGTGCACAACGTGCAGGTTTGTTACATATGTATACATGTGCCATGTTGGTGTACTGCACCCATTAACTCATCATTTAACATTAGGTATATATCCTAATGCTATCCCTCCCCGCTCTGCCCACCCCACAACAGGCCCCAGTGTGTGATGTTCCCCTTCCTGTGTCCATGTGTTCTCGTTGTTCAATTCCCACCTATGAGTGAGAACATGCGGTGTTTCGTTTTTTGTCCTTGCGATAGTTTGCTGAGAATGATGGTTTCCAGCTTGATCCATGTCCCTACAAAGGACATGAACTCATCATTTTTTATGGCTGCATAGTATTCCATGGTGTATATGTGCCACATTTTCTTAATCCAGTCTATCGTTGTTGGACATTTGGGTTGGTTCCAAGTCTTTGCTATTGTGAATAGTGCCACAGTAAACATACGTGTGCATGTGTCTTTATAGCAGCATGATTTATAATCCTTAGGGTATATACCCAGTAATGGGATTGCTGGGTCAAATGGTATTTCTAGTTCTAGATCCCTGAGGAATTGCCACACTGACTTCCACAATGGTTGAACTAGTTTACAGTCCCACCAACAGTGTAAAAGTGTTTCTATTTCTCCACATCCTCTCCAGCACCTGTTGTTTCCTGACTTTTTAATGATCGCCATTCTAACTGGTGTGAGATGGTATCTCATTGTGGTTTTGATTTGCATTTCTCTGATGGCCAGTGATGATGAGCATTTTTTCACGTGTCTGTTGGCTGCATAAATGTCTTCTTTTGAGAAGTGTCTGTTCATATCCTTTGCCCACTTGTTGATGGGGTTGTTTTTTTCTTGTAAATTTGTTTGAGTTCATTGTAGATTCTGGATATTAGCCCTTTGTCAGATGAGTAGATTGCAAAATTTTTCTCCCATTCTGTAGGTTGCCTGTTCAGTCTGATGGTAGTTTCTTTTGCTGTGCTGAAGCTCTTTAATTTAATTAGATCCCATTTGTCAATTTTGGCTTTTGTTGCCATTGCTTTTGGTGTTTTAGACATGAAGTCCTTGCCATGCCTATGTCCTGAATGGTATTGCCTAGGTTTTCTTCTGTGGTTTTTATGGTTTTAGGTCTAACATTTAAGTCTTTAATCCATCTTGAATTAATTTTTGTATAAGGTGTAAGGAAGGGATCCAGTTTCAGCTTTCTACATATGGCTAGCTAGTTTTCCCAGCACCATTTATTAAATAGGGAATGCTTTCCCCATTTCTTGTTTTTGTCAGCTTTGTCAAAGATCAGTTAGTTGTAGATGTGTGGCATTATTTCTGAGGGCTCTGTTCTGTTCCATTGGTCTATCTCTGTTTTGGTACCAGTACCATGCTGTTTTGGTTACTGTAGCCATGTAGTATAGTTTGAAGTCAGGTAGCTTGATGCCTCTAGGTTTGTTCTTTTTGCTTAGGATTGACTTGGCAATGTGGGCTCTTTTTTGGTTCCATATGAACTTTAAAGTAGTTTTTTCCAATTCTGTGAAGAAAGTCATTGGTAGCTTGATGGAGATGGCATTGAATCTATAAATTACCTTGGGCAGTGTGGCCATTTTCACGATATTGATTCTTCCTACCCATGAGCATGGAATGTTCTTCCATTTCTTTGTATCCTCTTTTATTTCATTGAGCAGTGGTTTGTAGTTCTCCTTGAAGAGGTCCTTCATGTCCCTTGTAAGTTGGATTCCTAGGTATTTTATTCTCTTTGAAGCAGTTGTGAATGGGAGTTCACACATGATTTGGCTCTTTGTTTGTCTGTTATTGGTGTATAAGAATGCTTGTGATTTTTGCACATTGATTTTGTATTCTGAGACTTTGCTGAAGTTGCTTATCAGCTTAAGGAGATTTTGGGCTGAGACAATGGGGTCTTCTAGATACACAATCATGTATCAAGTCAAGGGACAATTTGACTTCTTCTCTTCCTAATTGAAGACCTTTATTTCCTTCTCCTGCCTGATTGCCCTGGCCAGAACTTCCAACACTATGTTGAATAGGAGTGGTGAGAGAGGGCATCCCTGTCTTGTGCCAGTTTTCAAAGGGAATGCTTCCAGTTTTTGCCCATTCAGTATGATATTGGCTGTGGGTTTGTCATAGATCTTACTATTTTGAGATACTTCCCATCAACACCTAATTTATTGAGAGTTTTTAGCATGAAGGGTTGTTGAATTTTGTCAAAGGCCTTTTCTGCATCTATTGAGATAATCATGTGGTTTTTGTCGTTGGTTCTGTTTATATGCTGGATTACGTTTATTGATTTGCATATGTTGAACCAGCCTTGCATCCCAGGGAT
This sequence comes from Homo sapiens, assembly GCF_000001405.40. Classification (NCBI taxonomy): domain Eukaryota; kingdom Metazoa; phylum Chordata; class Mammalia; order Primates; family Hominidae; genus Homo; species Homo sapiens. The sequence continues at coordinate 51,703,981 of NC_000001.11, forward strand.
GAAGCCCACTTGATCATGGTAGATAAGCTTTCTGATGTGCTGCTGGATTCAGTTTGCCAGTATTTTATTGAGGATTTTTGCATGGATGTTCATCAGGGATATTGGTCTAAAATTCTCTCTTTTTGTTGTGTCTCTGCCAGGCTTTGGTATCAGGATGATGCTGGCCTCATAAAATGAGTTAGGGAGGATTCCCTCTTTTTCTATTGATTGGAATAGTTTCAGAAGGAATGGTACCAGCTCCTCCTTGTACCTCTGGTAGAATTCGGCTGTGAATCCATCTGGTCCTGGGCTTTTTTTGGTTGGTAAGCTATTAATTATTGCCTCAATTTCAGAGCCTGTTATTGGTCGGTCTATTCAGAGATTCAACTTCTTCCTGGTTTAGTCCTGGGAGGGTGTATGTGTCGAGGAATTTATCCATTTCTTCTAGATTTTCTAGTTTATTTGCGTAGAGGTGTTTATAGTATTCTCTGATGGTAGTTTGTATTTCTGTGGGATCGGTGGTGATTTTTCAAAGTTACTTCATGTTTTAGTTAGTTTGGGCTGCTATAACAAATTACCATAGATTACGTAGCTTAAACAGCAAACATTTATTTCCTCACAGTTCTGGAGGCTGGAAGTTTAGATCAGGATGCCAGCATGGTCAGGTTCTGGTGAAAGCTTTCTTCCAGGTTGCACAGTCAACTTCTTGTCCTTATATCCTCATGTGTTGGAAGGAGAGTGAGACAGCTCTGAGGTGCCTCGTCACATTAAAGAGGGTTCTACCTTCATGACCTAATTATCTCCCGCAGGTCTCACCTCCTAATACTATGACATTGAAGGTTAGGATTTCAACATAGGAATTTTGGGGCAACACAAACATTCACTCCATGGCACTGAGGTTCAATTATGTGAAATATTATGGTTCTGAGAGGCTGAATATATGCAAAAAGATATATTCAGAGTGTTGCTACCTCCTTAATTCTTACTAATTTGTTCCTATTCTTCCTGGCTTCCCATCCTTTCTCACCTGTGGCTTGTAAGGTAACCAATTTATTTAGTTTTCTTTAGAAGCTTTATATTTCTTTTGCACAAATAAGAAAATACTTGTATGTTTTCTGATATTCCTTTTTTCTTATAGTAAAGACACACTTCACTTTTTAAAAATCTTTTATTTGATGGTATGTCTGAAAATCACTCCAAATCACTAAAGAAATCTTCCTCATTCCTGTTTTTTTAAGAGATGGGGTCTCACTGTATTGTCCAGGTTGGTTTCGAACTCTTGGGCTCAAGTGAGCCTCCCATCTCCTGGGGCTGCAGGCGTGTGCTGCTGCAACTGGCTTTTATTCTTTTTGATACCTGCATAGTATTCCTTGATTTATTCAACCATTCTCCTCTGTATGAGTATTTAGGGTGTTTCATATATATATATATATATATATATTTTTTTTTTTTTTTTTTTTTTTTTTTTTTTGAGACGGAGTTTCGCTCTTGTTGCCCAGGCTGGAGTGCAATGGCGTGATCTCAGCTCACCACAACCTCTGCCTCCCTGGTTCAAGCGATTCTCCTGCCTCAGCCTCCCGAGAGTAGCTGGGATTACAGGCATATGCCACCACACCCAGCTAATTTTGTATTTTTAGTAGAGTTGGGGTTTCTCCATGTTGGTCAGGCTCATCTGGAACTCCCGACCTCAGGTGATCCGCTGGCCTCAGCCTCCCAAAGTGCTGGGATTACAGGCGTGAGCCACCACGCCTGGCCCCAATATTTTAAAGTTACAAAAAATGCTATAGTAAATAACCTTGTTCCATATATATTTTTGTATTGTTAGATGTTGATCGATTTTTTTTCACATATTCAACCAACTTTGTATTTCTAAAATAAACACAACTTGGACATGATCTATTAATTTTTTAAGGTCATGGTCATTCATTCATTTCACATTTTATTCTTAGTACATTCCACTGGGAGAGGAAAGAGTCATGCATCAGTATATAGATTGTGCTATTCTGTTGTACTGTTTTTATATAGGATTTTTGCATGTCTGTTTATTCTGTTAGATTTGCCTATAATTTTTCTCTAATAACAGTCTTGTCAGATTGGTGTCAAAGTTATGCTGGCCTTAAAAAAGAGTTGTGGAGTGTTCACTCTTTTTCCATTATCTGGAAGATTTTGTATTAGAGATTGGCATTATTCCTTAAGAATTCTCTGGTGAAGGCTTCTAGGCTTGGATTTTTCTTTATGAGATGATTTTCAATTATTTTAATATTAGAGTGTTTTTGACCTACCAAAAGGGTACTTTCCTGTGGCCCAACCTAATAGTTATAGCACTATCTAGGTTTTTAAAGTTGTTATTGTGGTAGTTTTGGTAAATTGTATTTCCTTAAATAATATTTTCCACTTAATTAAAATTTTCAGTTTTATAGTCAGGGAGTTATGAGTATGTGCATCAGTTGTGATGTCCTCTTTCTTATTCATGGCATTAATGATCTGTGCCATCATGTTTGTGTTGTCTTCGTCCCTTCCTCCTCCTGTCATTTTTGTTAGAGGTTGATCAATTTCATTAGTTATTTTTAGGTAACCAACTTAGGCTTTAGTGACCTATCTATTGAATGTTTGCCCTCTATCTCATTAATTTATGTTCTTTATCAATTCCTTTTCTACTCATTTTGAACTTCTTGTTGTTTTCAGCCTTTTTGCTTTTATATATATATGCATTTAATATATATATGAATTTATATATATATATATGCATTTAAGGCTACAAATTTCCCTTTATGCACTACTTTAACTGTATCCAATGAATCCATATATCATATTTTCATTTATTCAGTTCTACATGTTTTCTAATTTCTAGTGCAGATATTTTTTCCTGACCTATGGATTATTTAGAAGTATTTATTTTTAAAAATTCCAAAACATCTCAGTATTTTGTTTTATTTTTCTTTCTTTCATTCTCCTTTTGGCTGCATACAGGGGACTTTATTGATGGTACATGACAAGGTGGGGCCTTCCAGGCCCCTCCCTCTTCAGGGGGTCTGGCATGGAAACTGTGTCAAGAAGAGATTTTTGCATGTCTGTTTATTCTGTTAGATTTGAGTGCAGCAGGTATTCCCCAGCAGCTGAGGTCCTCTCTTGTCCTTTAGTTAGTGCTCTTGCTGGAGCTGGTGGTCCTGGGCACTTACTCCTTGGAGGCCATGTGGACCATGAGGTCCACCACCCTGTTGGTGTAGCCAGATTCATTTTCATTGTCATACCAGGAATTGAGCCTGACAAAGTGGTCATTGAGGGCAGTGGTGGCCCCATCATGGAAGGTGGAAGAGTGGTTCTCACTTAAAGTCGGAGGAGACACCCGGGTGTTCAGTATAGCTCAGGATGCCCTTTAGGGGGCCCTCTGGTGCCTGCTTCAATACCTTCTTAATGTCATCGTATTTGGCAGGGTTTTCTGGATGGCAGATCAGATCTGACATGTAGGTGGTGGGGACTTGGAAGACCATGCCAGTGATCTTCCCATTCAGTTTGGGGATGACCTTGCCTACAACCTTGGCAGCACCAGTAGATGCAGGGATGATGTTCTTGAGAGCCTCATGGTCGTCATGCCACAGTTTCCCAGAGGTACCATCTACCCACATCTTCTGGGTGGCAGTGATGGCATGGAGTGTGGTTATGAGTCCCTCCACAATGCCAGAGTTGTCATGGATGACCTTGGATGGGGGTGCAGTGATCAATTGGTGGTGCAGGAGGCATTACTGAGGATCTCGAGGCTATTTTCTTACTTCTCATGGTTCATGTCCATCACAAACATGGGGGTGTCAGCAGAAAGGACAGAGATGAAGACCCTTTTGGCTCTCCCCTCTAAGTGAGTCCCAGCCTTCTCCATGGTAGTGAAGTTGTTGATGGACCCAACAACATAGTCAGCACCAGTGTCACCCCCATTTGATTTTGGTGGGATCTCACTCCTGGAAGATGGTGATGGGATTTCCCTTGATGACAAGCTTCCCATTCTCAGCCTTGATGCTGCCATGGAACTTGCCATGGGTGGAGTCATACTGGAACATGTAGACCATGTAGTTGAGGTCAAAGAAGGGGTCACTGATGACAACAATACCTGCTTTGCCAGAGTTAAAAGAAGCCCTGGTGACCAGGTGCCTAATACAGCCAAATCCGTTTATTCCAGCCTTCATTTTCACCATGGTGTCTCAGGGACACGGCTGGTGGTGCATGAGAAGGGGCGGCTGTCTGTCAAATGAGAGGAGCAGAGAGCATCAAAAACCCTAGTATTTTCTAATTTATCCTTTTTTTTTCTTTTTCTTTTTTTTTTTTTTTTACTGGTTTCTAGCTTAAATTTCCACTATGGTTAGAGAATATATGATTTCAGTCCTTTGATATTTGTTGAGACTTGTTTTAGGGTCCAATATTTGGTCAGTTTTTAGAAATATTCTGTGTTCTGCTTAAAAAGAATATCTGTTTTACATTTGTTGTATTCAGCATTCTGTATATGTTCATTGAATCAAGTTTATTCATCAGACTGTTTAAATCTTCTATGTCCTTATTAATGTTTCATCTGCTTGCTTTATTGATTAATGCAAGTGATGTAACGTGTCACTTGTAAGCATCATATACTTTTACAAATCTTAAAGCCTTTGTATTTTAATTAGCACGTTTACTTCACTCACATTTAATTATTGATTTTTTAGGCTTAAACATTTGCCATCTTACTGTATGCTTTCTTTCAGTCTCGTATATTCGATTTCTTTTTTCTCCTTTCTTGTCAATTTTTGGATTATCTTTATTATTGGATTTTTTAATTTTAGAAGTTAAACACTTAAAAAGCTTTTCTTTTAGTGATTATTTTAGATATTATAACATGAATCCTTCAGTTATCAAAATCATTGATAATTTTATCTTCTTCCCAAACAATGTAAGAAACTTAAAACTTTTTATTCCATTTTCCCTTTTCCAATCTATATGCAGTTGTTTTGTATATACAATCTATATGCAGTTTAATTTTGCATATATTTATTTAAAATCCCATGAGAGCCTTTTGGTCCCAGCAGCAGCAGAGCTGAGCAAGCAGCTCCCTCCCTCCCTCCGCTGCCCGCTGGCCAGCAGGATGGAACAGGCCACACTCCTTTGTCAAGGACTTACTGGCCGGAGGCATTGCCCTCGCTATTTCCAAGAGGGCAGCGACCCGAGTTGAGCCAGTCAAGGCACTGCTGCAGGTGCAACATGCCAGTAAGCAGATTGTGGCGACACCGTACAAAGGCGTGGTGTGGTGGGCTGCAAGGTCCACATCCCCAAGGAGCAGGGCACTTGTCCTTCTGGAGGGGCACCTGGCCAGCACCATCCACTGCTTCCCCATGCAAGCCCTCAACTTTGCCTTTAGGGATAAGTACAAGCAGGTCCTTCTGGGAGGCGTGCATAAGCATGCACAGTTCTGGAGATATTTTGCAGGCAACCTGGCTTCCTGAGGGGCGGCTGGGGCCATCTCCCTGTGCTTCTTCTATCCCCTGGAATTTGCCAGAACCTGCCTGGCAGCCAACGTTGGGAAATTGGGCATATAGTGGGAGCTCAAAGGCCTGGCAGACTGCCTGGAGAAGATCAAGGCTGATGGGATCCGAGGCCTGTCCCAGGGCTTCAGCATCTCGGTGCAGGGCATCCATATGTACTGGGCAACCTACCTCAGCGTGTATGATACAGCCAAGGGCATGCTCCCTGACCCCAAGAACACCCACCACATGGTGAGCTGGATGATTGCCAGGCCATGACAGTGGCCCATGTGGCCTCCTACCTACTCCTCACAGTGCGGGCGGATGGTGATGCAGTCCAGGTGCAAAGGAGGTGATATTACGAACACGGGTGCCCTTGATTGTTGGCAGAAGCTCTCCTAAAATGAAGGGGCGAAGCCTCCTTCAAGGATGCATGGTCCAACATCCTCACAGGCATGGGGCCAAGTCTGGGCCTGTATTATGAGCTGAAGAAAGTCACCTAAGTGCATATGTCTCCTCCATAGAAATGGCAACCCAGAGAATCATGTAGAATACTTAACTATTGTAGATTATGGACCTTCAAGAAATTCTGGTCATCTTTGTCCTGGCCAGAGATCATGTCTGTAGAGGGCTGAGGTAGGCTCTAGAAAAGGGGTTCATTGTGATCACATTCCCCTTTGGCACCTGATTCCATGTATTGATTACTGGGGGTGGGAAAATCATGACGTCATTGTGAGCACACAGGCGAGGCAACTCCAGCTCAGACCTAGAGTCCAGATGCTTATAGGACCTGAGTTGTGTTTAAGTATTTATTTAAATAAAAGGAATTGTATTTCCCATTTGTACTTAAGCACTAGCTCTTCTTTTGCACAGTGAGTATTTGTAATTATGTTCTGTGTTAGGTGTGCTGCTGCAAAACAATAAAAACAGGACACTGAGAGCCAGAAAAAACCCCCATAAGATATTATTAAATATTATGATTGTATGTAGAGAATATTTAGTTTTAGCCACATACTTATAATTTCTGTTGCTCTTCATTCTGTGCAGCTCCTACCACCTTCCATCAGGCATTGTTTATGCCTAGAAAAGAATACTTTTTAGAATTTTATTTAATGAGCATCTGCCGATAGCAGATTCTGGTTTTGTCAGTCTGAAAATGAGTTTATTTCATCTTAATTCATAAAGGATATATTTCAGTGAATTCTAAATTGACAGTTACTCTCTTTTAGCCATTAAATGTCGTACTCTATTGTCTCCTGGTTCTCATTGTTTCTTTTGAGAGCCTACCTGAATTTAATTGTTGTTTCTTTGAAAGTAACCTGTCCTTTTTTCTCCCTGGCTGTTTTAAAGATATTTCCTATATCTTTGGTTTGCAGTATTTTTACTGAGATGTGCCCAACTTGTGGATTTCTTTGATTTATCTTGCTTGGGATTCCTAGGACTTCTGAATGTCTTTAATCAGTTTTGGAAAATTCTCAGCCGGACAGTGCTTCCGTGCCATGCTCTCTTTTGTCTTCTTCTGGGGTTCCAATCACATGTGTGTTACATTTTCTCATACGCTGTATTGCTTACCCTTACTTCTATATTTTCTTTTTTTTTTTTTCCCAAGGCAGAAGAATTTTTCTTAGAGCAGAACAAAATGAAAAGTCTCCCATGTCTACTTCTTTCCACACAGACACGGCAACCATCCGATTTCTCAATCTTTTCCCCACCTTTCCCCCCTTTCTATTCCACAAAGCCGCCATCGTCATCCTGGCCCGTTCTCAATGAGCTGCTGGGCACACCTCCCAGACGGGGTGGTGGCCGGGCAGAGGGGCTCCTCACTTCCCAGTAGGGGCGGCCGGGCAGAGGTGCCCCTCACCTCCCGGACGGGGCGGCTGGCCGGGCAGGGGGCTGACCCCCCCACCTCCCTCCCGGACTAGGCGGCTGGCCGGGCAGAGGGGCTCTTTACTTCCCAGTAGGGGCGGCCGGGTAGAGGCGCCCCTCACCTCCTGGACGGGGCGGCTGGCCGGGCGGGGGGCTGACCCCCCCACCTCCCTCCCGGACGGGGCGGCTGGCCGGGCGGGGGGCTGACCCCCCACCTCCCTCCCGGACGGGGTGGCTGCCGGGCGGAGATGCTCCTCACTTCCCAGATGGGGTGGCTGCCGGGCGGAGAGGCTCCTCACTTCTCAGACGGGGCAGCTGCTGGGCGGAGGGGCTCCTCACTTCTCAGACGGGGTGGTTGCCAGGCAGAGGGTCTCCTCACTTCTCAGACGGGGCGGCCGGGCAGAGATGCTCCTCACCTCCCAGACGGGGTCACGGCCGGGCAGAGGCGCTCCTCACATCCCAGATGGGGCGGCGGGGCAGAGGCGCTCCCCACATCTCAGATGATGGGCGGCGGGGCAGAGACGCTCCTCACTTCCTAGATGTGATGGTGGCCGGGAAGAGGCGCTCCTCACTTCCTAGATGGGATGGCGGCCGGGCAGAGATGCTCCTCACTTTCCAGACTAGGCAGCCAGGCAGAGGGGCTCCTCACATCCCAGACGATGGGCGGCCAGGCAGAGACACTCCTCACTTCCCAGACGGGGTGGTGGCCGGGCAGAGGCTGCAATCTCGGCACTTTGGGAGGCCAAGGCAGGCGGCTGGGAGGTGTAGGTTGTAGCGAGCCGAGATCACGCCACTGCACTCCAGCCTGGGCACCATTGAGCACTGAGTGAACGAGACTCCGTCTGCAATCCCGGCACCTCGGGAGGCCGAGGCTGGCGGATCACTCGCGGTTAGGGGCTGGAGACCGGCCCGGCCAACACAGCGAAACCCCGTCTCCACCAAAACCAGTCAGGCGTGGCGGCGCGCGCCTGCAATCGCAGGCACTCGGCAGGCTGAGGCAGGAGAATCAGGCAGGGAGGTTGCAGTGAGCCGAGATGGCAGCAGTACAGTCCAGCTTCGGCTCCACATGAGAGGGAGACCGTGGAAAGAGAGGGAGACCGTGGGGAGAGGGAGAGGGAGAGGGAGAGGGAGAGCTACTTCTATATTTTCTATCTCTTTGACTTACTGTCTTTTGTTCTCATGGGTTTCTTCTAACTGCTCCCAGTTCTGTAATTGTCTCTTTGGTTGTACTTAATCTGCTGTTGAACTCATCTATTAAATTCTTAATTTTGATTATTTGTCACTTTTGGAATTTATATTTGATTTGATTATTTTATAAATCTAAGTGGAAAAAAACCCTAAAAATAAAAAAGGAAAAAATTATGTCATTTATGCAATAATCTGGAGCTCCTGTTGATCTGTTTCTGTTGTCTTTTGGTTCTCATTTATGTGTGGTTTTGTCTCCAAAAGTGTCTCCATTTATGTGTACTTGGTTATCTTTGCTTATGTGCTAGACATTGTATTTTAAAAATTGTTTATGTAAATTTAATTTAGCAGCTAAGATGATGTTATCTTCCTACAGAAAAGATTTTCATTTGCTTTTGCTAGTAGATGCCTGGCGTCACTAAAAATCTGTGATCATTTAAATCAATTTCAGGCATCAAGATTTTTCTGGGCCACCCATATGACCAAGCAATTGTTTTAATTCTAGTTTATCACTACTCCCACAGAGAAGTTGTTTGGGGTCCCAACTAGAACATGGACTGTTTACCAGAGCTCCCATTGTTGGTGGGCCCTGGCTTCCAACTTCTGGCCTGAAAAGGCTTGTGTGGTTGGTTTTTTTTGTTTTTTTATTTTATTTTATTTTATTTATTTATTTTGAGACAGAGTCGCCCTCTGTTGCCCAGGCTGGAGTGCAGTGGCACGATCTTGGCTCGCTGCAACCTCCGCCTCCCGGGTTCAAGTGATTCTCCTGCCTCAGCCTCCTGAGTTACTGGGATTACAGGGACCCGCCACCATGCCTGGCTAATTTTTGTATTTTTAGTAGAGATGGGGTTTTACCATGTTGGCCAGGCTGGTCTTGAACTCTTGACCTCAGGTGATCCGCCCGCCTCAGCCTCCCAAAATGCCGGGATTACAGTCATGAGCCACTGCACCCAGCCAGTTTTTTTTTGTTCTTAAATTAAAGAAGTTTTAGGTTCACAGCAAAATTGAACAGAAAGTAGAGTTCTCATATACCAGCTTCCGCCACACACTGACAAGCTTTTAAGTGCATTGTCCGGTCTGCAATTCCTCTCCTGGAATTTGCAATGCCTCCATGAGAAGTGTCCCTAAATACAAGGTTTATCTTCTAAATTTTTTGTCTTCTCCCAGATCTTGGCTTGGTAATTCTTTATTACCTTGTTGGTTTGTGATGCCTTCAACCAGTTGTTTTTTAAAAATCAGTCTAGCTTTTCTAGTTGTTCTCAGTGGGAAGGTTGGTCTGAACTATGTAGCCTGCTATTATTGAACACAATTATTCCCTTTCTTATAAATTGTTGCAAGTAGATTGCATATCTGTAAAAAATATTAATAGATCAAGCTGAACCTATTAAGGAAATGGTACAACTAAAAACCTTTTCTGTTAGCCATCATAGTTTTAAAATGATATTTTCAAATATGGAGATATATTATAGAATTAAACTTTTAATTTTAATGTATAATCTTTTATTCCAGCCCGTGATGCTGATGAGCGAGAGAAGTGGATCCATGCCTTAGAAGAAACAATTCTTCGACATACTCTCCAGCTTCAAGTAAGGGTCTTTACATGGTTTCCAGATAGTTCATTAGTTGTTGCTTTCTTTTTTTGTCTGTTTTCTGTTTTTTTTTTTTAAATAACTGTGGTATGATGTAATAGGAACTTATAATTTCTGAGTTGCTTATTTTTCCTTTACAGTTATAGTAAAGTTATACTCATTTATTTTCTCCTGCTTTCTGCAGAGTAAAATACTGATTTTTGTCTAGAAACAAGACAGTGCAAGACAATGTTGAAAGTGAAATTCTATGTTAAAATATGCCAGATTTATTTTAAGAATTTAATATCTGTAGTCAGTTATCAATACAACCAAATTACATAATTATGCATGATAATAGGTAAATACTGAGAAGTTCACCTCATTTTCTTGTTAAAGGATTTGGCTATTACCGTATGTGTCAGTTAGTACTCTTTTGTATGGTAGTGAAAGAAAACTCAACCCAAACTGATTCATGAAGAAGAAAGTAAATCTGGTTAGATGTGGTTTGAATTAGGTAATTCATGTCATGAGGACTCAGATCTCCCATCTCTATTTCTACGTTCCACTTTTGCATTGGCTTCATTTTCGGTTAGGTTCTCCCTTGGTGGTGGTAAGGTGGTTGTAGCAATGTCAGCCTCCCATTTTTGGAACCGAGTCCATAGGAGGCTATTCTTTCTAGACCTTAATAGGAGTAACACAATTATTGCTCATCACCCTAGCTTTGGCCATGTGTCAAATCCTGACCAGTCACAATTTCACAGTCATAGATTCTACCCTGGAGCTGGGATGTTACTGGCCTCACTAGAAACACATTGCTGATAGGGTAGAAGGTGTGTTCATCCTACCCAACCCGACCCGCACCAAAGTCAGAATAGGGAAAAACAGATGTTGGGTGACATGCAACTAACGTCTGCCGTACTACACTGAAGATATTTTTCTATGTTTATTCTCCAGTGAAAGAGCTTATATTTGTGGTACATAGGGGATTTTGTTTTAATTTAGAAAATTTAATTGTAGAAAACATGTTTTATAACCCTTTCTCTGTACTTTGTTCTATATCAGGAATTGACTTGATTAGATAAGGTGACATAGGGTATCTTAGGCCCTACAAGATAGTAAACCCCCCATCACTTGAAAGTATTCAGTAGAGGCTTAAAAAACATTATTAAAGGATGTGGTTATTAGGGGACTTTAAGAAATGAATATGAAATTGAAGTAGGAAATCTTTAAGCTACTCTGTGAGTTATGCCTTTTAAAAGCAATTTGTAATTCCTGTAGATTTCTTTTAAATTTAGGCAGTTTCATAAATGACTATAGCATCATTTTAGCAAATTTGTGATCCTGTAAGAGGAGGATAAGTGTTTTTTGTTTGTTTGTTTGTTTTTTGTTTTTTTGAGACAGAGTCTCACTTTGTACCCCAGAAAGTAAATCTAGTTAGATGTGGTTTGTCTCGGCTCACTGCAACCTCCACCCCGTGCGTTCTAGCAATTCTCCTGCCTCAGCCACCACACCTGGCCTAAGAGGGGAGGATAAGTGTTTTAGTGATCATATTAGACTGAATGTGGCAGATGAGATTTCCCGCCCCCCCATTGTTGGTTAGACTGACATTCAACATTCAACAAGAGCCACCTGCCCTTGTAGGCATTTCTGCCACTATACCCCTACATAAACCTAGAGTGCTATTGCTTACTTGCTTTCCTTCAAATACATTTTTTCATTTGTGGCCTCCACATTCTTGTGTGTGATGTCCTTTCTCTGTGAAATGTCTTCTACCCTTTTTTTCAAAGCCTAGTTTAGAACTGACCTCTTCTATGAACCCTCTGCCGACTGGCCTTTCCTTCCCCAGTCCCCCAAGTTCAAAATGATCTCTTTCCTTTGAATACTATAGTATTTGCACAATTCACTATCTCCTTATCATATTCTTCTTGTTTATTTGTTATCAGCTGATGTTGACATCATAAGTTCAGGTTCCTAACTAGATCCAATATTGGAATTTTTCAGCTTTTGCTAAGAAGAGAGCTTGTATGTCTTTGGGAATAATGGGCAGAAAAAGATAACTTTGAGAAGTCTTAGACTTCTAATAGCTTTGATATTTAAAAGTACATGTAATACAAGAGGTTTTTTTCCTACATTTAATGCATGGAGAAGATAGGACATTTAGAAATATGGAATTAATGTTCATTTGACTGGCAAAAGATTATTTTCTCAGATGTAGTGAAGTGTGGTAAAGAACTTCACTCTAGAGCCAGAATGTCTGTGTTTGTATCCCAGAGCCCACCACTTACATTTAACCATTAACATTCAACTTACTGTCTCTGAGTTTCAGTGGCCTCATCTATAAAATGAGGATAATAAGAGTACCTACTTCATAGAGTTGTTTTAGTGGTTAAATAAACTAACGTAAACTTGCTAGAACTTGATAAACTAATATTGGATGAGAACTGGTTGAAATAATGCCTGGCTATAGTAAAAACTTGGTAAATGTTAGTTGCCATTACAATGCAACTACTGTTCCTACCATTCCCTCTGCCAGTGCCTGGTATTCAGTAGCACTCAGTAAATGTTAGTTAAATGAAGAAATAACTGAAGGAATGAATGAACAAATGGTTGATGTAGAGATTGCTTTTCCATTGTTGTTTATTGAATATTTTGAGATGTATAACATACTGTCTGTTAGGCACTGTGGGATGGGCACTCACGGAGCTGTCTTCCAAAGGGGTATAGGAGAGGAGACGCAGTGATCTCAGCAACCTACCTTTAAAACATATCCTAGTATCTACTGCCATGTTAGGTTCTCTTCTTTTGCTTTTTTTAAAAAAAAATTCTCACAAAACTCCCCCCACCCACTTCAGTTTATAGATGAGGAAGCTCCTACTACATAATAGTGCTTCCCAGTCTAATTCTTGACCTCATTGTATTTATATGTCCTTTTTTTTTTTGACAGAGTCTCACTCATTGCAGTGGCACAATCACAGCTCACTGCAACCTCTGCCTCCCCTGCTCAAGTGATCCTCCCACCTCAACCTCCTGAGTAGCTGGGACTACAGGCATGCACCACCACGCCTGGCTAATTTTTGTATTTTTTTGTAGAGATGCGGTTTTGCCATGTTGGCCAGGCTGGTCTCGAACTCCTGGGCTCAAGCCATCTGCCCACTTTGGCCTCTGAGAGTGCTGAGATTATAGGCATGAGCCACCATTCCCAGCCATGTTTTCCTTTTTCATTGAACTTTATCTACTTTAGCCATTAAACTCCACTCCATTGGTCTTGTCATTACTAAGAGCTGAACCACCTGCAAAATATTAAGTTAAAAAGCGTTTTCTTTGACAACAGTTTTCTTTTCTTCATCTTCCTCTATCACTTTACTTCTGAACTTTTATTCTCTCATTTTGATCTGACCCCTACTTCTCTGTTTTTCCTGGCCATTTAGTACTTTCTTGTTTTGCTCATCCCATTTCCCAGTGGAGACCTTCTGGTCTGCTGCTTTATCACTGGTTTTGTTAGAAGACATACAAATGGCAAGGAGGTATATGAAAAGGTGCCTAACATCATTGATCATCAGAGAAATGCAGACCAAAACTACAATGAGATATCATTTCACCCCAGTTAAAATGGCTTTTTTTTTTTTTTTCCAAAAGACAGGCAATAACAAAGTACTGGTGAGGATGTGGAGTAAAGGGAACCCACATACACTATTAGTAGGAATGTAAATTAGTACAGCCACTGTGGAGAACAGTTTGAAGGTTCCTCAAAAAACTAAAAATAGAGCTACCATATAATCCAGCAATCCCACTGCTAGGTATATATCCAAAAGAAAGGCAATCAATATACGGAAGAGATACCTGCACACCCAGGTTTATTGCAGCACTATTCACAATAGCCAAGATTTGGAAGCAACCCAGGTGTCCAACAGATGAATGGATAAAGAAAACATGGTATATAAACACAATGGAATACTATTCAGCTGTGAAAAAGAATGAAATCCTGTCATTTGCAATCCTGTCTTGAATAGAACTGGAGGTCATGATGTTAAGTGAAATAAGACAGGCACAAACTTCACATGTTCTCACTTATTTGTGGGAGCTAAAAATTAAAACAATCGAACTCATGGAGCTAGAGAATAGAATTATGGTTACCAGAGGCTGGAAGGGTGGTTGGGCGTATAAGTGTAGGGGGAGTGGGGATGGTTAATGGGTACAAAAAAATGAGAACGAATAAGATCTACTTGATAACACAACAGGGTGACTATAGTCAACAGTAATTATACATTTAAAAATAACTAGAAGAGTATAATTAGATTGTAACACAAAAGATAAATGCTTGAGGTGATGGATACCTATTTACCCTGATGTGATTATTACTTATTTCATGCCTATATCAAAATATTTATACTCCAAAAATATATATACCTACTATGTACCCACAAAAATTTAAAAATTTATATATTGTTTTTGCTATCACCTTTAGAATTTCTTGTCATTGGATAGTTCGTCTGTATACCATTCTGGTCTTCATTCCCCAGGGCCCCCGTTGTCTGATTTTTCTGCTTCTAGAACTGTTAGAGGTCACAAAAGCAAGATGGTTGTATCTATCACAATTTTTGTCTGACTTTAACTGGGTATCTGTTACGATTTAGTAGTCATCTTACTGACTTCTTGTTGGTTTCCAATTGAATCCTCACAGTAGACTGTTTTCATTGTAATCAGTATCGAATTATAGCCTGTTCCCTTCTTCATAAATGAAGGCTTTCTTCTTCAACAGTTCTTAGTGACTTCACCTGTACTTTATTTCTCTGCTTTGAATATTTCGAAGAAAACATATTCTTGCTCTTTCCCAAGGTTAACACTACATACATTACCTTGACCACAGGATGTTTTCTTGCAGATTGTGACCTAATTCCATCACCCTTCAGCAGCCCCCACCGTTTTCATGGATTCAGCTAAACCTTCTGTAAGATGACTCTTTTTCCCCCTAATCTTTATATCTCTTTTGATATGTAGCTTTAGTCTCACTTTTTTTCCTTTTGGATTTTGCCAGTTAGATGTCTCCCTGGAATTCCACTTCAGCATGGCTAAGACTAAGCTTGTCTTCTCTTTCCTCCCCAAAGCAAATTGTAATTAGGATAGACTGAAGGTGACAGAAGATAACTAAGATCTTCTTCATCCTTTCGGCTCTTATGGAAGCTGAATTCCAGTAGTCATTCTAAATTTGTTGTATGTCAGCTTATGGTATCTTTTCATGTCTTTACATTCAGCCAAAGAGGAAGTTCCTTGAAGGGGAGACCAGAGGGCGTGCTGTGCTTCTTAATCCTCTCTTTCTTAACCAGTAAGAGGCATTCAGTAGATATCTGATGATACTGATTAATAGAGGGGAACTTTTCAGATTCTTTTTTTTTTTTAACCCTAGTAAGCTTTAGTACAAACTAAATGCTGAGAGATTATCAAGTAAGGGATTGATCATCACAAGAAGACTCAGGATGTTACATCCTGTAGGTTTTATAGTTTCCTATATTGTAAAAAATATGAGTTATAGCAGCTTGTCTGGATGTCATACAGGTATAAAAATCAGTTTTATAAACTTGAGTAAATTGGGGCCCATTTTAGAAAAAACTCTTGCAGGCTGTGAATGCCAATATATAAGTAAAGTATTAAGTATAATGTTATTTAATGTGGGCAAACATAAAGCCAGGTGTAAATTTTTTAGGTTTAAAATCTTATAGAACTATACATCCAAAAGAAAATTTCAAGTTAAACATAATACAAAGCAATACAATCTAAATTAACATTAATTTAATGTGATGAATGATATTGCCTTGCTAAAAGTGGGTCACTACTTACAATGTGCAAATGGTACTCATCGTTAGGGTATAGATTCTTTTAAACTATGACATACGTACACTACCATGTGGAACGTGATGATGTGTTCTCTGTTCTAACTACTGGGAAGACTTCCTTGGCATAGCACATGCCATGGGGTCAGTTGGCTTTGACTTCATATAGATATGCCATTTACTTGGTCAGTGTCACTTCTATGACAAGTAGTATGTTGTGCCAGTTTGATTATAAGTACAAATATGGGCAATGAAGTAACTTGGTTTTAAGGTTGTTACTAAGCTGAGTAACAGTGTGTGGCTATACAAATTTTTATAGGCTATCAGGAATGAAAACACAGGAGATTGTTGTAGATTCAAGTATTTTAGATTCAAGTTTGAAGATGCTCATGCAGATGTTTAACTGAGTTGTATAGACCTTTATGTTTCTTTCTTTTTCTCTTTTTTTTTTTTTGAGACAGAGTCTTGCTCTGTCACCCAAGCTGGAGTGCAATGGTGTGATCTCGGCTTACTGCAACCTCCGCCTCCCAGGTTCAAGCAATTCTCCTGCCTCAGCCTCCCAAGTAGCTGGGATTACAGATGTGCACCACGACGCCCAGCTGATTTTTTGTATTTTAGTAGAGGCGGGGTCTCACCATGTTGTCAAGATGGTCTCAATCTCCTGACCTTGTGATCCACCCACCTCTGCCTCCCAAAGTGCTGTGATTACAGGCGTGAGCCACCGCGCCTGACTGACCTTTATGTTTCTTAACTTTATGCTATACATCAGTTGATATTTCAAAAATTTAAATGGTTTCTATGATTATTCTTTGGGCTAAGAAATTGGGCATTAATTGTCCTCATATGTATGGTTTTTGTGGCTACTTCATGTAGATTTTATTTTTGGTGGTTATCAAATTGGAATTTTTTTTTTTTTTTTTTTTTTTGAGACGGAGTCTCATTCTGTTTCCCAGGTTGGAGTACAGTGGTGCAATCTCAGCTCACTGCAGCCTCGACCTCCCAGGCTCAAGCAGTCCTCTCACCTCAGCCTTCTAAGTAGCTGGGACTACAGGCACGCACCACCACACCTGGCTAGTTTTTTGTGTTTTTAGTAGAGATGGGGTTTTACCCTGTTGGCCAGGCTGGTCTTGAACTCCTGGCCTCAAGTGATCCACCTGCCTCAGCCTCCCAAAGTGCTGGGATTAGAGGCATGAGCCACCACACCTGGCTGAAATTGGAATTTCATTGGTACTGCCTGTAATTTTATGTTAATTTTTTTTTTTTTTTGTCGTCACTAGCTTTTATCTAAAGCCCCTAGAGAGAAAGGCCATGATACCTTGTATACAAGGTTATAAGAGTATACAAGGGAAAGGGAGGGCTGAAGGGAACAGGGTGGGCTGGTACAAGCCTCATTAGAAATACCATTGAGTCTGTGAGTAAAACATCATTATATGAAAAGGAGATGTGGTTTTAGGGTGGTCCAATTACTTTTGCACCAGCCTAATAAAATTACAAGTCATTATCAATAGAGACATTGTAAAACCTTTTTTTTTCCCAAAAGAAGTATCAGGTATGATAATTACATGTCTGCCCAACTTTCGTTATAGATTAACATAACTTAATTGTATTTAAGGTACAATTTAGGAGAGTTGCTGAAAAATGAATCTTTAGTATTGGGATGCCTTGATTCTACCCTCAATAGCTATAATGGATTATGTGTCTGAGTAGATTAATAAAAATCTTTTGAGCATTTTTCTTGAACTACTTCACTGAAGATTAGCTTTTTGAGCATCCATTTTAATTTCTCAGTATATAAGGATCGGTTTATCACAACTGTATTGTTTTCCCTGGCCTTGTTAGATTATATTTTCATATCATGTAGAAAAATAGGTGTATTCGTTCTCCCTTGAAGTCCTTTGTCTCCCAAAGGAAATGGTTGCAATACAGATGTGTCACCTCTTCCACAGGTAAAGTGGAATGGAGAAGTAGCCAGTTAAATAGTGCATGCTCAATTTGGAACATTTAGAGCATACAGGAAAGTTATTTATTTGGTAAATATTTTTTAAGCATTTACTATGTTTCATGCATTGTACTAGTTGTAGAGGATATAATTGAATACAACTACATGTAGCCCTTGACTTTATGGAACTAGTCTAGTATAAAGATTTAAGATTGCCTGGCATGGTGGCTCACGCCACTAATCCCAGCACTTTGAGAGGCCAAGGCAGGATTGCTTGAGGCCAGAAGTTTAAGAGTAGCTTGGTCAACATAATGAGACTCCATCTCTAAAATAAATAGATAGATAGATAGATAGATAGATAGATAGATAGATAGATAGAAGTAGTTAGACAACACAAAGCAGTTTCACTCATCTTGTGGCAAGGAGTTATGTATTTCTAATCAAATTTGGCAACTCAAGCATTTTCAACAAAATCTACATGTTTTTTCAGAATAAAGTGACCAACACAGAATGTTACCTGTAAAAATCAGAGCAATAATTGCTATCTAAAATAATTTTGAAAATTAAGTGGTACTGAAAGGCTCATATAGCAAAAATATGGCCTCCTGTCATTGTACTTTCCTACTTCCCAGACTCACCATTTTCAACATTTTTTAGTAGTTTATTTTGCCATTTTATAGCATAGTACCTGACATTTTATTTATTCAACAGACATTTCTTAAGTACCTAATACATGCCATTCCTTGTTTGAAGGGATGCTAAGGATACAGTGGTGAACAAGGCGTTGTGGGGTTGTATAGAGGGTATTCATTCCTAACCTTGAACCAAATATTTCTTTCTGTTGGATAATGCATTAAAAATTGCAAACAGTTTACAAACTTTTGGAGCAATGGTGGCCTTGATCATAAAGTAGGGACTGCTTCTACCGTATACATGCTTGGTGGTGTATTTGTGATATCTGGCTAAAGTTTCTACATGGAAATTGACTGACTTTAGTTTTGAGACTTCTGGGAACCAGTCAGGCAAAATAGTGAAACTGTGTATCCTGTTTCCAAGAGTTGTCTTTTAAGGTTATCTGCTTCATTCATTTGGCCTGACTTGCTAGGCAAATGCCTAGGGTAAATATGATTTGATTAACTATAACAACAACAGCAACAACAACAACTTTATTTTTTAGAGCAGTTTGAGGTTCACAGCAAAATTGAGCAGAATGTACAGAGATTTTCCCTATACCCGCTTCCCCTACGCATGTGCGGCCTCCCCTACTATCAACATCCCCCACCAGAGTGGTTTGTTACAATTAATGAACCTACATTGACACATCATTATCACTCAAGGTCCGTAGTTTACATTAGAGTCCACTCTTGGTGTTGTGTATGGGTTTGGTCGATTTTATAATGACATTTATCCACCATTATAGTGTCATACATAGTAATTTTGCTACCCTAAAAATCCAGTGTGCTCCACCTGTTCCTCCTTCCCTCCTCCCTCATCCCTGGCAACCACTGAACTTTTTAACATCTCCATAGTTTTGCCTTTTCCAGAATGTCATATCATTGGAATCACACAGTATGCAGCCTTTTCAAATGGGCTTCTTTCCGTTAGTAATAGGCATTTAAGTTTCATCCTCATCTTTTCATGGCTTGATAGCTCATTTCTTTCCCTCCCTCTTTTCTTCCCTGTCTTCCTTCCTTCCTCTTCTTTCCTGTTTCCTCTTTCTTCTTCCTTTTTTAAGAGACAAGGTGTCTCACTCTGTTGCCCAGGCTGGAGTGCAGTGGCCCAATCATAGCTCATTGCAGCCTTGAATTCCTGGGCTCAAGTGATCCTCCTGCGTTAGCCTCCTGAGTAGCTGGGATCACAGGCTCCAGTCATTTTAGTGCTGAATAATATTTCATTATCTGGATGTACCGCCTATTCATTCACCTACTGAAGAATATCTTGGTTGCTTCTAAGTTTTGGCAATTATGAGTGAAGTTACTATAAACATTGTATACAAGTTTTATGTGGATGTATGTTGTCATCTCCCTTGGGCAGATACCAAGGAGTGCCATTGTTGGATCATATGGTAAATATATCTTTAGTTTTGTACAGAATTCTAGGTTGGTATTTTTTTCTCTCTCAGTCCTTTATTTTATTTGGAGACAGTCTCGCTATGTCGCCCAGGCTGCCATACAGTGGTGCCATCTGGGCTCACTGAAACCTCCACCTCCCAGGTTCAAGCGATTCTTGTGCCTTGGCCTCCCAAGTAGCTGGGATTACAGGAGTGCGCCACCACGCCTGCTAATTTTTGTATTTTTAGTAGAGACAGGGTTTTGCCATGTTGCCCAGGCTGGTCTCAAACTCCTGACCTTAAGTGATTCACCCACCTCAATCTCCCAAAATCCTGGGATTACAGGCCTGAGCTACTGTGCCTGATCTCTCTCAGTACTTTAAAGAAATATTTCATTCCACTTTTCTTTTTTTTCTTCTTTTTGAGATGGAGTCTCACTCTGTCGCCTGGGCTGGAGTGCAGTGGCGCGATCTCAGCTCACTGCCACCTCCGCCTCCTGGGTTCAAGTGATTCTCCTGCCTCAGCCTCCTGAATAGCTGAGATTACAGGCGCCCACCACCATGCCCAGCTAATTTTTTGCATTTTTAGTAGAGACGGGGGTTCCACCATGTTGGCCAGGCTGGTCTCGAACTCCTGACCTCGTGATTCGCACATCTCGGCCTCCCAAATTGCTGGGATTACAGGTGTGAGCTACCACGCCTGGCCCACTCTTCTTGCTTACATAGTTTCTGAGGAGATGTCAGATGTAATTTTTATTTTTGCTCTTCTGTAGGCAAGTTGAGTTTTTTCCCCCTCTAGCTTCTCTCAGGATTTTTTTCTTTATCTTTGATTTTCAGTAGTTTGAAAATTATATGCCTAGCTGTCAGGGTTTTTTGCTTGTTTGTTTTTGTTTTCTCAGGTGTGACTCCAGAAAGGTTCTAAAGAGGAGCTTTACAATCTCTTCTCTGGGGTTTATGGAGACTTCCTTTACCCTTCTGTGTTAGCCCCTTAAAGCACTGCGTCAACCTTAAAAGGGCACAGGAAAGGGTGTCTATGCCATTTTTATGCCATTTATCCTGCTTGGTGTTTTCTGAGCTTTCTTCATCTGCGGTTTAATGTCTCACATTAATTTGTAGAAATTCTCTGTCATTGTTTCAAATTTTTCTTCAGTTCTTTTCTCTGTTTCTTCTTCTGGTGTTCCCATTATGCTTTTGTGGTTGTCGTACAGTTATTGGATATTTTGTTCCAGGCTTTTTTTTTTCCAGTCTTTTTTTCCTTTTGCTTCTCGGTTTTGTAGGTGTCTGTTGAGATACTCTCAAGTGCAGATATTCTTTCCTCAGCTTTGTCTAGTTTACTAATAAGCCCATTAAAGGCAGTCTTCATTTCTGTTACAGTCTTTTTGATCAGTAGCATTTCTTTTTTATTCTTTCTTAAAATTTCTGTCTTTCTGCTTACATTGCCCATCTGTTCTTGCATGGTTTCTACTTTGTCCATTAGAGTTCTTAGGATATTTATCATAATTATTTCAAATTTCTGGTGTAACAATTCCAACATCCCTGCAACATCCAAGTCTAGTTTCGATGCTTACTGTGTCTCTTCCAGCTGTGTTTTTTCCTATTTAATATGTCTTATAATTTTTTCTTGATAGCCATACATGATGCATTAGGTAACAGAAACTGCTGTGAGTGGACCTTTAGTAATGTGGTGGTAAGGTGTGCATGGAGGGGAAACATTTTCAGTCTGTTAGTGAACTTTTGTCAACTTCACATGTGCTTCTCAAGTCCATCCTGTAAGTGGGAGAGTAGGGCTAGAGAGGACTGAAGTTGGGTATATATTAAATACTTTCTCCTACAAAGAAGCCTAGAGGGGACGCATTAGGGGATTTTTTTTCCCCCAGTATTCACTGTGATGACCCTTATTGAGCTCCTGGAGGTAAAACTCACAAAACTGTGGTTCTCCCCCCTGCCCATATTACTACATGTCCCTGGAGTTTATATCTTTCAGACTTGTCTGCACTGAGCTTCCACCAATTTGTCAAATACAGATCAGGTTTCCCTACCACCCGTGCAGTTGAAAACCCACATACAACTTTTGACTCCTCCAGAGCTTAACTACTCATAGCCTGCTATTGACTGGAAGCCTTGCCAATAACATAAACAGTTGATTAATACATATTTTATATGTTTTCTGTATTATATATTGTATTCTTACAATAAAGAGAAAAGAAGATGTTATTAAGAAAATCATAAGGAAGATAAAATATATTTACTGTTCATTAAGTGGTTCCCATGGGTGCTGGTTCCCATGGAGGTTGCCCCTTGTGAGTTTTTGCTCAGGGAAGTTGTGATTCTCTATATTTGCCTGTTGGTCTCCTAATTTGGGAGTCATCAGTTTTCCCTGTGACCTCACTTCTCTTACAGAGTTAAGAACAGTTGTTGGTTTTTCAGTTTGTTCAGTGTTTTACATGTTGTTAGAACACAGTGGTACTTCTAAGTTTCTTAACATGCTAGATCAGAAACCTGAAGTCTCACCTAATTTGGCTTTTTATATTTTTTCTTCTTTTTTTTCTTCCATTGCTACCAAAGCATTTTTCATCTGTGTCTGGGGTGACATTAGAGCAGAATGTGATTTCTAGGTAAACATTATTGGGCTCCCTAGCAGAAAAATTTTTGAAAGTAGTACATGAATTCTGTATAATTAAAATTTTCTTTTCATCTTAATAGGTATAGGTAATAGGCACGGCCTATTTTTTTTTTGCTCAACAGTCTAAAATAGTAATTTAATCACCTAATAGCCTTAGTTATATAGTTGAAAGAAGAGTTGGAAATCTGATTCATGGGTTGGAAATCACCTGTCACATATGAGTTTTAGGCACTGGTCACTTTATTTTGAAACAGCTTTGGGGTTTTTTCCTTTTTCAACTCATAATAGGCTTTAACAGCTTTTAGTTTTGTTTCTGTTTTTTTAACAGCATGAGTTGCCAAATTTGGTTATAGCTTCTTGGTACAAGATGGGTAAATTTGCTTTGTGTTGTGTAATTACTTTTTATTTTAAATGCTACCTCTTTTATGAACACTAACTTTACACTAAGATTAGGAAAATGAGAATTGCATGTCTGCAACAAATAGCTATCTGTAGTATTAAATTGTGAAAATGTAGACTTTGGATTGGAGCTGGCATCTCTTAATATGTAATTGTAACATAGAGTAAATAAGTATTTTGTCCCTTGTAGGGTCAAACAGTACAGTGCATGGGCAGAATTAGAGATGTAGGCTTTTTTTTTTTTTTTTTTTTTTACTGGCTTAGAGAACCGTTTGATCAGCTAATATGGAATTAAGTCCCTAGGGCTGCCCAGGCACAACATTAACTGCTATTAAAGGAAAATTTAAAAGAGTATTAGTGAAGGTTAAATACTGACCATGGACATCTGGCAAAATTGATGTTTTTTTTCCCCTCCACCATTGTTTATAGTTTATTGTTATTTATCAGAGAATTAATGTTTATTTTCAGAATCTATTACCATAAGAAATCTGTTTGAGGACTTCGTATGTGCCAGGAATTCTACTAAATAATGATATAATGCTGAACAGAATTAGATAGGATCCTCACTTCGTTAAGCTTACAGTCTAGTGGTATAGATCAACATTAATCAAAGAATAACACAAATAGAAAGCAGAGCAGTGGTTCATGGGATTGACTGTAGAGAAGCATGAGGGAAGTTCCCAGGTGATGGAAAATACTTTATTTCTTAATCGTGGTGGTTACATGTGTGCATATGTTTATGAAAATATATTGTACATTTAAAGTGGATACATTTTATCACATGTAAATTATGACTCTATAAAGTTAATTAAAAAGAATAACTCAGGTAAGGTGGTGTGTGCGCCTGTAGTCCCAGCTATTTCTGAGGCAGGAAGATCACTTGAGCCCAGGAGTTTGAGTTCAGCATGGGCAACATGAGACCTGTGAGACTTTGTCTCTAAAAAAATTTAAATAAATAACTAAGATAAATGTAAAATTACAGCTGTAGTAAGTTCTACAAAGGAGAGTTACATGGGCTATGACGATGTAAGATAGCAAGAACTGACATTGGCAGGGAGGAAATGATGATGAGTAGAAGTAAATAAGTGAAGTGTGGGGATTGATGTCAAGGGGACAGTATAAAAGAAATAACAGCATGCGCCAAGGCCCTAAAATTGGAAAGTCCTTGGCAAATTAAAGGAGTTTGAAAAAGGCCATTGTGTGCAAAGCAGAAAATAGGTACTACAAGGTAAAAGATGGAGCTAAGCGGTAGGTAAGGCTAAACCTTGTCAGCCATTGTTAAATATTGAATTGTATCCTAAGCACAACTCAGTGGAAAGCAGTTAAAGTTCTTTAATTGGGGGAGGCAATGAAGGGGTAATAAAATTGGTTATAGAAATACTGCTCTGGCTCTAGTGTTGAGAATGAATTGGAGTAGCCAGAGTAGATTCAAGAAGACTTTAGTAAGATTATTCCAACAGGCCAGGACCTGTTATAGGGTGGTGGCAATGGAGAGAGATGGACAGAATGGAGAGTGTATTTAGGAGGTAAAAATGACAGAACTTGGTGATGCACTGAATGTGAAATGGGGAAGGTGTCTAGGAGGACTACTAGGTTTATGGTTTGCGTATTAGGGTGGATGATAGCAGTTTCATTTACTGAGACAGGGAGCCCTGGCAGAGTACCCAGCTTTTAGAGTGGGTAGGGGGAAGGGGAGAGTGCATCTGGTGTTGGGCATTTTGAAGTGATTTACATACAACAAACTGAAGGTATCTTTAACACTGAGTCCAGCAGGTTAGCATATTTATTCAGCAAGCATTGCACCTTTTTTTGTTGTTTTTGGGGTCTTCAACTCCTGGCCTCGAATCCTCCCTCCTTCCCCCGCCTCTCCCAGCCTCCGCCTCCCAAAGTGCTGGGATTTCAGGAGTGAGCCACCGCGCCTGGCCAGCATCGCGCTGTTTGTGCAGTGTGCCCTGTGCTAGGTCTTGCAGTGGGTACCAGTAGAGACATAAAAGTACAAAAGATAATTGGACGTTTAGTAGAGTCCTGAAAGGGGGCGGGATAGGAAGATACCTAACCATAAGAAAAACCAGCAAGAGCGGAAAAGGAGCTAGTCCTCCAGATCAATAAGTTAATCACTTATGTTTGTGATTCCCTGCATTTTGGGTGATTCTCTGTCGAGGTCCTCTTAAGTCCAGACTTTTGATATAATCTGCAGTTTGCGCCATTTGGATTCCTGAAGCATCTTTACAAGCCACCTACATTCCTTATGGAGCTGTGGCACAACAGCAAGCCCACGATGTCTCACCGGATTAATAAAAATATAGGCGCTCACGCTTTTGTTTACCGATATAGTATCTCCTCCTCCCCTCACTCCATCAACCCCCACGCGACACAACTTTCCGGAAGTAAGCAAAATCCGTTATCAAGGTGAAACTCCGGGGACCAGGCTCCACAGCTGCCATAAACTGGATGGCACGTTAGAAGCCGGTGGGTGTAGGTGAGGCACGCTGGCGCCCGCGGGCCCTTCTCCAGCCGCTACCCAGTGGGAATCCGCGGGGCTGAAGCCCCGAAACCAGGCTGAGCGTCCCAGAGCGCAACCTCCCTTTCCCCCAGCAGCGCCGGCGCCGCAGAAGCCGCGTGTCCCCAGGCGCACTCCCCCAAGGTGAACCCCCGCCCCCCACGGAGGCGGCTGGGTCGCGGGTCTGGGCGGGGCGCTCCGGACGCCCTCCCGCCGCTGCGCACCCCTCCCGCGAGCTGCCAGCTCCCTCGGCCTCTCCACCCAAAACTGGCCCAACCGCCAATCGTCTGCCTCTCACCTCCTACAGCAGGTGACCCATGGCCAATCGCCAGGGGTCTCTTTGCCAGGAGCCGCCAGGGCCAGCCAATCGGGGCGACCCCTCCGCCGGGGAGGGGACGGGAAAGGGGTGGGGGGTGAAGGGGGTGAAGGGGGTGTCCCGGGGGACGGGCTGAACCTCAGTCAGGACCGCCTGCACCGCAGTCCGGGGATCGGGTCGAGGGGAGAAGAAAAAGGGGTGCTCGGGAGCAGCCCCCGGCTACCTCCCCTGGAGGCACAGAGGGCGGGGGCCTTGGCGAATGGCTTTCTTGCTGGCCACTTGCGGAGTGAGTAGACCCCGAGGGTCTGGGAGAGGGGCCGGCCCCTACCCCTGAGTCCCCGGGGTCCCGGCCGCCAGGCCGGAGCGCGAATGTCGTGCTCACCCTGCCTCCTTCCCGCCGCCCCCTGGGGTGAGTAGGACGACGTGGCTGCCCGGGCCCCTCTTCCTTGGGAGTTCTCAGTTCCTCAGCCTAGATGGGGTGGAGGCTGAGGTCAGGGCCTCCAGTTCCACCGAGAGGGCATTCGCCCCCAAATGAGACTTTGGAGGAGGTCTCTTTTTTTCTATTCATTTTTGTGGAACTCTGTTTTCCTTTTGAAAGCTGTCTCAGAATATGATTTTAAGCAGAAAAGTTAAGCTTTCTCTTATGTGAAAGCTTAATTTTGACCAGTTGCCCATTAATAGAATCTCCAGTTGCAGGCCAAGTGTTTTTTGGTGGTGGTTTATTTTTGGCACGGTGTTCGTGCCTGGCCCTGTATTTTTTGTGTATAAAGTAATTACGGATGCTATTGTTTTTGAGTATGTGTGTCGGGAAGGAGGTGATTTTACGCTTTTTGGGTAGCTTGTGCAAAAATACTGAAAACTTTGGTATAGTTTTATGGGGTTCTTAGCCCAGCCGAGTTATGGAAAGTTGAGTATAATTAATGGACTAGGAAGCATATTTGAGTAATGCACTTTTTGCTGACATTCATACTGTATTATAAGTATTTGTTATGAAAGGTTGAGAGATGTATTGAACAAGAAAACCAGTTTTGCTAATTTGAAGTAATACTTTGTTTTGCTTTTTGATTAAACTGTTTACTTTTAGCTGTATTAAGGAAGTTAAAATCAAGTAATTCCTAGTTTCTCAGTGGAGAAGCTGGAAGCATCTTAGAATAGTAGTTGTAGTTTTAAAAGTTTTTACAGTGAACTTTGAAACTGGAAATTCTCACGTAGTTAATTATGAATAATCTCTCTTGAACACTGCCTGTATTGAACTAAGTAGTTGATGAAACCCTTTAATGAATACTGTTAGCACCTGTCATTTATTTATACTTTAAATATATTGCTTTACTCCCCCCCACCTTTTTTTTTTTGTGCAGCCCGACAAGAGACAACCTAAATAAAAATACCGTATTACCTTTTCTAGTTCAGGGAAGGTGTATGATTAAAAGTCAGATTTGGGCCAGTCGTGGTGGCTCAGACTGCAATCCCAACACTTTGGGAGGCTGAGGCGGGAGAATTGTTTGAGTCCAGGAGCTGGAGACCAGCCTGGGCAACAAAGCCAGAACCTTCCCCCCGCCCCTGCCCCAATAAAAATTTAAAAATGAGCTGAGCGTGGTGGTGATGTGCACCTGTGTTCCCACCTGCTTGGGAAGCTGAGGCGGAAGGATCCCTTGAGCCCAGAAGTTTGAGGTTGCGGTGAGCTATGATTGCACCGCTGCACTCTAGCCTGGATGACAGAGAGCAAGACTCTGTCTCAAAGCAAAACAAAACAAAACAAAAAGGCGGGCGCAGTAGCTCACGCCTGTAATTACAGTGCTGCCTATAATCCCAGCACTTTGGGAGGCCGAGGCGGCCGGATCTCTTGAGGTCAGGGGTTCGAGACCAGACTGGCCAACATGGTGAAACCCCGTCTCTACTAAAAACACAAAAATTAGCCGGGCGTGGTGGCGGGCGCCTGTAGTCCCAGCTACTCGGGAGGCTGAGGCAGGAGAATCGCATAAACCCTGGAGGGGGAGCTTACAGTGAGCCGAGATCGTGCCACTGCACTCCAGCCTGGCGACAGAGCAAGAGTCTGTCTCAAAAAAAAAAAAAAAAAACTCTTAAAGAAAAAAACAGATTTGTAGTCTGATTTGAGAGCTTAAGTGAGAAACAAGAAAGACAACAGACAAGTTTCATCTGTTTACAAAGTGCCCTGAGTTTGGCTTTGACAGAGATGACGATGAATTTGGAAGTGCCCTTCAGTAAATACGAGGATGCAAAGGCTGTCTACTGGTCACGTTCATTTTGGTATTTCTAAAGTTCTATGATATTTTTAATGTGAAATTTTTCAAATGTTTTTTAATGTGAAAAGATTATTATATTTTGTACGCTCAGCCATCCCCACTTCAATCTCTGTTGATATTAAGATTAGTAGGGAATTTAACTGTAAGTTTGGTTCAGCCAGGAAAGAGCATTATTTTGTTAGCACCATGTTCTGCTGGTTGGAAAGTCAGGCACTCACATGGTTTGCACGCTGTTGATTAAGAAAGGGGACGATGACAAGAAAATCTGATAATCAGGCTTTTGTTCAGAGAAGCAAATTCTAGGATGTCCCCTGGGGTATGTTGAGTTCTATCTGTAGCTAAACTTTATACTGTAGAGCGAAAACAGATATTTATGATGATTCTTATATAGAAAAAAGACTTTGTGATTACTGTAGTATACTTAGAAAATTATATTTAGGAAGCTTTTCAGTAAAGGTTTAAACAAAGATTGTTAAGCTTGAAAGAATAGTTCTTATACTGACAATGTAATTAAGCCACGTATTCCTCCTTAAATATTTTAATGAAGTTCTACCACACACAGGCATTTAAAGCTACTTTCCATCTTCCTTATTTTCCATCTCCAGTCACCAGGTCCTGTTATGTTTGCCTTAGTAATATTTTTCAGATTCGTCACTTTTTTCTAGATGATAATGCTTTAATTCAGGCCATCATGGTCTCTCACCTAGACTTTTGCAAGGCTTTCTGACTAGTCTGTCACTGGACTCCCCTTACCCCATCCTTTTTATCCAAAAACAAATTTGGAATGGGTTGCCGCTCTTATAGTTAAGAATGTGTTTTGGCTCCTCCTTGCCAGAGTCCAGCTGCCCAGCATGTCCTGGAGGCCCTTCTTCATATTCTGGTCCTGATTTATCTCTGAGTCCAGACTCAGCTCCAGGTGCTTTACCCACGGCATCCACTGTGAACTGTTTCTCATTGAGAACATGCCATAGCCTCTCACAGTTATTTGTCTTTTCACAGCCTTTCCTTCTTGCTTAGATTACCCCACTGTATCTCAAGTGGTAAGCCTCCAGTTCTTCCTTAGCATACAGCTCCTGTGTTAACCTTTTCTATGATGCCTTCCTTCAGGCAGGGTGAGTTTGTTACTCTTGTGTGTGCTACTACAGCACTTTGCTCATATCTCCATATCACAGCCTTCACTAAGTTGTATTGTAAATTTTTAAACATATGTGATTCTTGCATTAAACCCTGATTTCCTAGAGATCTGGGGTTCTCACTCATCTTTGTATCCCCGGGGCCTTTGTCCCTAGTTTAGTGCATGGCACATAGTAGGTGTTCAGTAAGTGCTTAAGTGATCAAAATATGTGACGATAATAGCTTAAGTGTGTAAACCTTTGACTCAGTTTTACTGGAGTTAGGTTTTTCCCTGTGAGTTAAAAATGCTTCCTAGGTCACCAAGCTCCCTGGTTGCTACCAGACATGAGAAACGGGGGATTGGAAAAATGTTTAGAAACAGTGCTAAAAATGGTGAGCAGGGCCGGGTGCGGTGGCTCACGCTGTAATCCTAGCACTTTGGGAGGCCCAGGCTGGCAGATCACCTGAGGTCAGGAGTTGGAGAGCAGCCTGGCCAACATGGTAAAACCTCATCTCTAATAAACGTACAAAAATTAGCTGGGTGTGGTGGTGGGCATCTGTAAGCCCAGCCACTTGGGGGGCTGAGGCAGGAGAATTGCTTGAACCTGGGAGGAGGAGGTTGCAGTGAGCCGAGGTCACACCATTGCACCCCAGCCTGGGTGACAGAGCGAGACTCTGTCTCAAAAACAAACAAAAAAAAAAGTGGGCAGACTTCCAGGACTCCCCACCTTCCCCTACCCAATCTATAGGACCTCTAACATGATTAAAATAATACTAATAGTAGTACGAGTACTAATTGGTTCTGGAGTATTGTTAGTATCATAGGAAAAAGCATGTAGGCTAGCTAGAATGTCAGGGAAACTGCTTTAAAGGTGAAATTTGAGCTCATTCCAGATGATTAGGTAATGCTTAATTATATTTGCTATTAATATTATCTCTATTGTCCTTAAAGACATCCTTTGAAGATGATGATAGTACCTGGCCATAATAGACATTAAATAAATATATGTGTCATGAATGAATGGTTTGGTTGCTCTGTATGTGTGTGTATACATGTGCGCACGCAGGAGAGAGAGAAGAGAACTGTAGTTCCTGCCATATTGGAGTTCATTTATTTCTGGAGACACCTTTAGGAACTTGGCTTCTTTGCTGTATTGACTGAACAACTCGTTTTTCCCAAAATGTGCCACTTCAATTAAGTTATTCTGCTTACTCCGTTGTTTCTTTGCATTCTCTGCATTCCAGAGCATGTTTTAAAATCTGGTTGTGTTAGTCTTTCTCACTCAGTTTCAAGGTTACACTAAATGACAGAGTTTGCTTGTGTTTTGACATATTTTGTCATACCGTGGAGGACTTGGCTGCAGTTGGAACCTGTAAATTCTTACTGTGTTTATTTAAATGAAATTAATTTTTATTAAGGTGAATACACGGGCCCCAGGTTTTCCAATATGGTTAGGAATTTATCCTCCTGGTGAACCTAGTTGTTTACCTGGAAGTATTGGCATCACACAATCCTAGAGCTGGAGAGAATTTTCAAATTCTAATTCCATTTCTACCTTTTTAAAAATTTTTATTATTGTGGAGAAATCAGTCTCAAAGCAGCTAAACGACTTGCCCATGGCCACATAGCTAGAGAGTAAATGACTAGGGCCAGAGCCTAGATGACTCTTGCTCTTTTATTTTCTCCAGAGAGACTCAGGGTGCTGCCCTGGTAGTCTCCACCCCTTGGTCGCCTTTCCCCCCCAAACCCTAGTACTTATTCCCATTTTTAGCCACTAATTTTGGTTTCCTTGAGATTCAGCATCCAGATCCAAAAAATATACATTCTTCTGTAACAGAATATTGTTCCTCAGTTGGCCTCCTTGTGCTTCTCAGCTCCTCAGTTTGGGAATATGCCTTTTCTGGTTATTCTCCATTTTCTTGCAGATTTGTTCTCTGGCCTTCTCTCTTCCGTGCTCTAGGAGGCTGACTTTTACAGCTTTCAGCATCTGGGATCCTTTATCCCTTGGCTTCTGGTTGGGGTTTAGCAAATGGGAAGCAGTGACAGAAAATGGAAGGGAAAAAAGGCCTTTGGAGTATTTGTTCCTTCTGCTCCTTCCATGCTTTGAGGCAATTCTGGCAGTGACTGTTTTACAGCCGTCCATGTCCACTGGCCGGTGGGAACCTTGTTTGTTTCCTTGCCCCTTCAGGCTACTTGCAGCTCTTAATTCCTGAGTACCTCAGCATCTCTTGTTAGTTTTCTTAGCCCTACTCTCACTTCTGTGGGTACTGTAGTCACTTGATTAAAGAAAAGTTCAAACATTGTATCTGATTATGCTGTTTCCTGCCAGGGCCCACTAGCCCGGTGGAGTACTGCTTTACCCCTCCCATTTCTGTCCAAATCCTACACTCTAAATTGCATCCTCTGTGAAAGCTTTCTCGTCCTTATAACTTTCTCCTTTGAATTTCTTCGTGCTTTTCTGATAACATTTTACCATGCTTGAATCAATTATTTGTAGACAGATATATATTCCCTCTAATAGAATGAAACTCTTTTAGATCTGTGTCTGCTTCATCTTGGCATCCCCAAAGGATCCGGCACAGGGCCATAGTCATAAGAGATGCTCAGTGAATAAGTAATTATTGTAACACTGAATTCTAAGGTCCAGCATAGTATGTGTAAAAATGTGCTCAGGATAAGATTTAGTGTGAGATAACGAGTTTTTAGAGAGACAAGAAGATTGTCATTGCCTCATCTTGTTTCTTGTTTTACTACCATTTATTTCAATGTGTTTTTCTCCTAGTTAGTTTCTCTTTCTTCTTAAAAACGTTTAGCCTTGGAAAAATTCAGCAGCCATACATTACAGCAACCAACTAATATAATAAATCCCTTAAAATAACTCTATGAGTTATTTATGATTTTTCCACGAATATTCTGATTTATAATCTGCAAGAACTAGTTCCTTGATTACTTTTTGTGTTTAAATGTTAACAGGTGGGCACATTGCAGAATTCCTTAATTCATTTACAAAATTTTTATTGAGGACTTGCTACAAACCAAACACTAGCCCGGTGGAGATAGTAGAGAATAAAACGAAGTCCTGTTTTCATTGGCTTGTATTTTATATCATCTTGATAGATTCTGACAATTAAACTAAATCAGTAATTTTGTATGCACTTTTTAACAACTTTAGCGAAAACCGAATCTGTTTTCTTCTGGTACTCATTGGCAGCTAAAATTAGATATACGAAGACAGCTTTGGCATATATAATTTCTAAGAGATAAATGTCAGAACAATTGTTGAGTCTATTCAAGTCAGGGTCGTTGTTTTATTTTGTTTGCCTGTGACTGATCATCTATCTGTTAGTCCTGACTAGCTATCACCTTGAGTGTTAATTTGTCAATTTGTTATATTCTGCTGTAGAGATTCAGTCTTGTTAGATTAATATATCAGGTTTTGTTTTTGAAAACATTTCATAATCAAATTTTCAAGAAGTATTAGGCTATAAGAATTTTGCAGTTATTTCAGAACCTGAACTAACTACTAAAGTACTCAGTTTAAGGATTCACGTATTTAATGTTAATTTTTCCTAGTTATTTGTAGAACACATTTCCAGGAAATTTACTCATTTTTGATGGATCCTTAAAAGTAGACTCCAGATAGGCTTTCCAAAATGCTCTTAATCTGAGGTTGGGGAATGGAAGAATATTTTTCTTTCATCCTGTACTAGTAAACCTCTCAGAGTTTATTTAGATCCTGGAATGATTTACTCCATGACTTCTAAGAAAGATACTGCAAGTAGCCTAACCAACTAAAGTATCTCAGAAGAAAAGTGTTGGCTGATTGCCAGCACTACATAGTCCAACAGTGCTTTTGTTAGGTGGTGTGCTGTAGTAGGTGTTTTCTTCTTTAAGAGATTGCTTTCTTGGATGTTGAGTCATGATCATGTTGTTGGCAGGAAGGAGGTGGAAAAAAAAAACTTTGCCATTTTGCTTGGTTATATTGGCCACTTTTCATTATTTTATTTATTCCAGTATAGTGATTACGAAGTTTTAAGTGCTTTTTGCTAGTGCGTGCTTTACCTTTAAATGATATTATAAATTTGCTATCCTACTTTTTTGCTTGGAAAGGTGTATCTGAGCAGCTTTAGCATTTGCCAGATTTACTCCTGGAAAACATTTTATAATTTTATAGACAATTTCAAAAGAATAATGCTTATGACCTTGCATGCTAAAATGGTTATAAAATTTTCTAAAAATGTTCATAACCTGTAGCTTCTGAACATTTTTACCTAAAGCTTTTGAATGTAAATTATAAAATAAATGCATATTTATTTTAAAAAATTAAACAACATGAATGTGTAAAATAAAAACTCAGAGTCACTGTCTCACATGCCCTCATTCCTCAGTCCCATTCCCTAGGGGTAACTGCAGGTGTTTTGTTTCTTTTGTTTCATGTGTTATATTTCAGGGGTGTGTGTGTGTGTGTGTGTGTGTGTGTGTGTGTGTGTACATTTTTTAAAATGAAACTTCTAGTGCGTAAGTAAAATTACATAAAACTGCAACTTGAGTATTATTCATGTGTGTACTTATCTAGCATAAGGTAAGCACTCAGTTAATATTAACTGCATTGAATTCCAGTGTCTTTTATTTCTGTAGCTTGCTTTCTGCATTCAGAACCTGTAAACTCATTTCATTTTAGGTTTTGTAGTTTTTTAAAAAGGCAATTTGCTGGATTCTGAATCATCTGAGGCAATTTTATATGCCTTTCATAACATTTGTGTCTTAAAAATCCTAGCTATATCCTATATAGAGAGGGTGACCATGTAATTTATTGCCTAAACTGGGATACTTGAGAGTGAAGGAGGCTGCTAATAATAACTTTGCTGAGACAACCAGGCATAAACTGACCATCCAGGCAAACTAAAATATACAGTCATCCTATTTACAGACTTAAGTTTTTTGTTTGTTTTGGTTAGTTTAGTAACTTCTTATATGGGTTTGTTGAATAAATTGGGAGTGTCTGGGAAAGACAAGCTGTCAGTGATTTAAATAGAGAAAAATGGTACGAATTCCAGACCTTTATTGTTTAGTTGTATAAGTAACCAAATCACTTTATGGAGTTAGTATTTGTGTTTTGTTCTATAAGTCAAAGGGTGTATTAGTATCAGATGAGGGTATCATGAAGAGTAAGGAATTGTGCTAAGGGTTATGATTGAAGTTCTTGCATTTTAGCTGTACCCGATTCCTGTACCAGATTTTAGCTGTACCAGATTTATTTTTTAGCAGAAACTGAACATTACACATAAACCTTTCTTTGTAAATTTAAAGATAAACGCAATTCTGGTTTTTCAAAGCACTAACATATGTTCAAAAATTAGATTCTTTTATGAAAAAAACTTTCTTTATATTGTTTGATTCTTTGTTACCAAGGTAATAATTAAGTACAGTTTACCTTTTGTGGTTCAGTCATAATACCCAGTGCTTTCCTGAACATCTCATATTGGAATATTTTTCCTGCTCTGTTTTCCATACTGTGTTTTACCACTTGTTTTGTCTGTTATTCATTTCTTTTTTATTACCATTCTCTATTATCTTCTTGGGAGTTCATCAACTTATAGCTTGTTTTTAAAACAGATGTTAAATACAATTTAACTTATGCTTATAGCCTTTACTTGATTGTAGATCTATATGAAAATTGCCTGTGGTTATAGTATTATCTAGTTCTTGATTCGTTTTGTTTTTATCCATCCGTACTCATTGAGTGCCTTCTATGCGTAAGGGCCTGGAGATATAGTGGTGAATCCTGGTTATCTAAGGCTCCAAATTATGAAGGGGAAGTAGAACACCTACCACTGTGTTACTTTACATGTATTACTCATTTAATCTCTCCAGTAACCTTGAGTAGTTTATTATTATACTCATGGATGAGAAAATGTAAGTGAAAAAAGTAATTTGGCTAGATCACACAGGTAATTCATTAGAAAGTTGCAGATTCAGGATTTAAAACTAGATGAGTCCTTAAAGCTGTGCTCGTTTCCACTATGTCAAGGGCCTTCAGGCAGTTTTTAGATTACATTTTAGTGCCCTTCTGTCATTAATTCCTTTTAAACATCATTGTGATTTAATAGAAAAGTATAATGGATTTGGTCAAAGGACTAGGTTGATATCCCAATTGAAAAAAAATTCAGCTGGATGATTTGGGTAAGCACTTATAAAACAGGTTTAATATCTGTCTACCTTACTGTATTATAATGCTCAAATGAGAAAGCTTGTAAAGTGTCTAGTAGAGTACCTAATACTCTGAAAAAAATTTAATATACATTGTGCATCCATGATGTTAGAGCTGCTTACTTAGCATTACAGAAAAAGACCTTACTTTTCAGGGCATTCTTGAGGTACCTAGCAGTTGGTAAGGTAACTACAGCTACCATGTTGACAATAAAGAACCTAATTTGAAGCCTTAGATTATCAAGACATTGGTAAATGGAAAATAACTTCTCTAAGGTATAGTGAAAGGAAAGGTTTAATACTAGGCTCAATTTTATGGATATTTTTTAATTGATGATCTTCACTCCAAATGAATTGATAGTTGACTATTCCTTAGGATTAAAAGAGATGAAAATCTTAACCCCAGAACTTCCCTGTTCTTCTAAGTCCTGTTCTTCCCTTAGCAGAAATGGATAAACCACGGGGACAGTAGGGATTGTAAATGTTTCCAAATTTTCAGTAATCCAAGGAAATCACAGATTAGTGTGCCTCACATAAAATCATGGTATAAGTAATATTTCTGGTCTCTTTAATATACTTTTTTTCATCGTCAAACCACTTTTGGTAGGGAGACAAGATGTCATTTCTCTAAAAACTTAATTTGCTAACTTAA
The DNA here is from genome assembly GCF_000001405.40 of Homo sapiens. Lineage (NCBI taxonomy): Eukaryota > Metazoa > Chordata > Mammalia > Primates > Hominidae > Homo > Homo sapiens. The sequence continues at coordinate 51,739,956 of NC_000001.11, forward strand.
ATTTCTAAGAAAGGCCATTATGTTTGGCATAATCTTTTTTTTTTTAACTTGCCACTTGCTGCTCATGTACCTACTTTTCCTCTGTGTAGTTACAGATTTTTCTCTTACTATTCCTTTACTTGATTATTGATGTTAGACTCACAGCATGGTAACTTTCTATTCTCTCTTTTCCTTACTTTTATGGAAGATCAGTACCACACTTGCTTTTTTCCAGTCTTCTGGTATCTCTCCAGTTCTTGAATTTTCAAAAATAATTGTAAGTGATTGAATTGTAAGTATGCTCTATACTTCTTTCATTGGATGAAAGCTTATCTGTGATGCATGTCATCTCAAATTGCTAATTGTGAACATAAACTTTCCAATATTCTCATATTTTAATCAAAATTACATTCCTGCTAAGTTTTCATTAGTTTTATTATAGGGTATGTGTTTTACTAATTAAAAAAAAATGTCTGCTTTTGTCCAGATTCATGCCATTTATTTTTCATTAGGAGGCTTGTTGTGTGTTTTTTCTTTGTTAAGTTTTTAAGCTATTGTTTAATTTACAGTTCTACTACTGATAACTTACCTGTTTTTCTTGTTATTCTGATTTTTTCTATGAGACAAAGAATAACTTACTTCTAATATATTTTCTTTTTCTCTTTTTACAACATATTTTTATTATATATGATTTTGCCCTATAAGAAAGTACTGCATATAGGACACTTACTCCTTTAAGTTTTCACTGTGAAATAAAATTAGATATGAAAACAATTATTCATTTGTGAATTTCTTTTTACAATGTTATTACTCAGCCTTCCTGTTCTACCTTATTCTCGGTTCCTCAGGTTGCCCATAGGTTTCTTAATTTCCGGATTCTGGACTCAAGAACTTCACCTTTATCTCCACTGTTCATTACTCTTCCTCTGTCAGCAGGAATTACTTTAAAAGCTCCTACTCTGCCTCAGGAATTGACTCTTGTGTTGTTTTACTAAGGAAGTGTCTCTCCAAAGCAACTATAATTTATATGCACTTCAGACAGTTTTAAGGACTTCTCTTGCAGTACTCCTTTTAATGGGGGTAAAACATTCAGTTACGTGTATGTGTAAAGTATAAATAGTGTTTAATGTCCCAACTGAAATCATTAAGAATTGATTTTGCTGACATTTGTTAGCTTTTAAGTTCCTTCTGAAAAAAGTAGTGTTATTTAACTTAAGTATTAGAAAGGTAGTAGGAAGTACCGACATACAGTTTTGAGGCAGTTTGATATTCTTCTACAAGTCTAGTTATATTATTTTAGAAATTCCCCTTAAATTGGCCCAGATGTGTATGTTTCTCTTTCTCTCTCTATTAAACTGGATACATAGATTCTGGATGATATAGAAGTATGTGTTATTCTTCTTGACTTTATGTATCTACTTTAGATTTTGCTTCTTTTCTTTCTCTCTTTCCCTCTCTCCTTCCCTCCTTCCCTCCCTCCCTTCCTTCCATCCTTCCTTCTCCCTCTCTCTCCCTTCCTTCTTTCCTTCCTTCCTCCTTTCCTTTCCTTCCCTTTTTTCTTTACTTCCTCTTCCCCTTGCCCTTCCCTTCCCTCTCTCCCCACTCCCTCCCCCAACCTCTCTTTCTCTCTCTTTCTTTCTTTTTTTTTTGAGGGTCTTACCCTGTGCCCAGGCTAGAGTAGCTTTATTAATAAAGTGTTTTTGAAAAACAGAGACTTTTTTTTTTTAGCATATTCACCACAGAAGTGGTTTTTCTTTACATAGGTTTCTAAATTTTATGGTTAGATTGAAGTTTAATTTCTATTGAGATTCTTCTAATTTAATTTCTTGTTACATCACAGACCATTTTGTCTTTATTTCTCTATAATTGTTGTGTATAATTTAAACTTTAAATGAATTCATACAGGAATCATCTAATTAGAGCTGTGGCTCACATCAGTGTAATAAACCAAAGAGCAGCAACCTCTTTGGTCCTGAGTGCCAATAATGCGACATAATCCCTTCAGTTACTACTGAAGGACCTGGACAAAAGAGAAAGAAAGACAACATGGAGAAAAGGCTTGAGGGAGTAGAGAATAGGAGAAAGAGAACAGAAAGGTAAGAGAAATCTCGGGAGAGGAGGTCGGGGGAAGACCGATGTTGTGGCATCAACAATTTCCAGTCACTGTAGCCAGCGCCATGTGTGTTCATTTAACACTGAGCTGGCCCTGATGGGTATAGTGATGAATGAATGGCATAGTTCCTGCCCTTGTGGAGTTTTAATCCTTCAGAGAAGTCACTCAAATATTCAATTATGATAAAATGTGATAAATGTTAGAGCAAGTACAGAATACTAGAATGTGTATCTACTTGACTCCCAGCTTACTTGTTCTCAAAAGCTACTGTAAGAAGTATGAAGTCACACTGTCTGAAAGAATTTGCCCTATTCTCAGTTCTTTTCAAAGACAGACCACCCTCAATATGGTAAAGGACTATATTCTTAGTCCTGTTTAAAACTCGGCCGGGCGCATTGGCCCACACCTTGTAATCTCAGCACTTTTGGGGACACTGAGGTGGGAGGATTGCTTGAGCTCAGGAGTTTTTATTTTATTGCGGAGACAGGGTCTTGCAACATAGCAAGACCCTGTCTCCACAAAAAAAGTAAAATAAAAAATTATCTGGGCTTGGTGGCACATGCCTATAGTCCCAGCTACTTGGGAGGCTGAGGTGGGAGGATTCCCTGAGCTCAGGAGGTTGAGTCTGCAGTGAGCCCTGATTGTACCACTGCACTCCAGCCTGGGTGACAGAGCAAGACCCTGTCTCAAAAAATAAATAAAAATAAATCTCCATTAAAAAGGATTAATATGAATAAGTGTTGTGGCTTAGTGTTCTAAATGTTGAATGGAAAGAGAAACAGTTAACACTTCAGGAGAATTTTAATGAAATATTCTACATTAGGAAGTAGTGGGTTTCTCATCTCATGAGATACTTAAGACAAGACTAGATGACTTTCAAAGATGTTATGAAAAGAACTTCTGTGAATGGGAGGTTGAATTAGGTGACTGCTGTAAGTCACAATATAAAGTCATACTTGTGCTTTCTTCTAGAGTATTAGTTTTACTAGATTTGAGAAAACACTTGTTAACTACTTGTTCATGTTATCGATGAATTTTACATGATATTTTATTGGTTGCAGATGGGGCAACTATATACATAAATTTTCCTTTTAAATACATGAAAAATTTTTGCATTACTATGCAAGGGTGATTGGGCCAGTTCTGGGACTGTCATTATAAACCTCCTGTTACACATTACCTAAAGAAAAATGGATTGATGAGTAGATCTTTGGCTTGGACCTTGTGAAGTGTGAAGTTTATTCTAGAGTTAAAAGAAGGTTATGGAAGACTATCTAGAGGCAAGTGTAAGAAGAGAGTCAAGGTGAGGTTTATATGATTCTACAAACATCAAAAAGTTGTTTCTGAAGAATTGATTTAGGTAAGGTTTAGATAGCAGTAATTTAAATCTGTTTCCATTCAGTCACTGAACAATTTTTAATCTAATCGGTAATTTGTTTAAAAAGGATGTTTTAGTTAGATTTTTACAATGTTAATTCTAAATGGATTCAGAAGAGTGAAAATACTTAAAGATCACTTTTCCCCTCTCATTTAGATGCTTTTTTTATTCATTTATGAATATGCCATTAACCTTTTAAAATATTTACTAAAAACAATGTATTTAGCTGATTTTAACTGGGTCTTGATAGTTAATTATTGATAATCATGTTACATTGCTGTGTGAAACAAAACCAAAAAACAAGCCAAACAGTCCTGATTTTTCTGTGGCACAGTAACATGGAAATAAGTTGCTCATTTCTTTCATAGTACAGTACTCTAATATCTATGAAATATGATGTACTTATCCATTTCTATGTCTTTTGTCACCAAACTGTATATTTTAAATGTCTCTAACAGGAACTTCTTTGGGTTATCTTTAAAAATGAAGAAGTTTAAACACAGTTTTATAAATATATCTGGATTTTGTATACATTGTTTATTAAGATTTTTTTTTTCAACTTTTGTTTTTGTACATGTCATCTCATTGGGAAGGGGCTTTGTAATACTCATTGTCAAACAGTTTCTTGATATGTATGTAAAATAGACATTTATCGCCTTTGAATTTGAAAAAGAAAACAAATTATGAGATAAGTTGATTTTTCCCATGGTCTTAATAGGACTTAGATTTTTAATAAAATTCTATTTTTTCTTTGGTTCCAAATTTTTGAATTTTAGTTTGGGAAGAGCAACAAAAGTACTATAATAGTAGTAATTGATAGTGTCATTAGTTGTTGTCTTTAGTAGAGGTAGTAGCTGCTGTACTAATAATAGGAGGAGGAGGATGCCCGTATTTGGCTGGCAAGAAAACCCAGATTTGGACAGCCACAATATTGTGTTAGTGAATGCACTAGAATTAGAAACCAGATTTGCCAGCCCATTACTGTTTCCATAATACCATACCATCTTAATTTGATGTTTTGAGATAATGGTTGTAAAAGTGCTTTAATGATAAAGTATACAAAGATCAGGTGTTGCTGTAATATAAAATAAACTTTGGCTTCAGTTTACTAAAATGAGAATGTGAAAATAATCAGCATGCTTTGGGCGAAGGCAGGGAGGAGATGACAAGTGAAAGTCAAGTGTGAGATGGGTATGTTGATCAAGTATATTTTACCCATTTAGTGCAGAATTTTGTGGTTGGGTTGGGATTTTTACAGTAGCAGTTCCTAACCCTCAGTCCCCTGCTTAACAGTATGATGACTGGGCATGAAAATGTGGCAGTCAGAGAAGATTAAGAACTCAAAAGTTTCTTTTGGCTAAAGTTAAAACATAAGAATCCCATGCTCTTGGAGCTTAAACTCTTTACGTATGCAAAAAGTAGGACATGCAAATGCTGCACTTTTAGACCGAGAAATAAGTAGGCCTTCTAAATAAATAAACATCTATACCACGTCTAAGTGTAGTGTTCATGCCAAGGGTGAAAGTGAGTAGGAAACTTGATTAGGACAGGTGTTGTTACTTTCACTTAGAGAGGGGCCACCTCTTAGAAGAGGAGAAAATTTAGAGGTTCTTTCTTTAGTAGGGGAGGAGGGAGGAAAACTTCAGAGATCATGGGGTGGGTTGAGGAATGGGAGAACTAAACAGTGAGAATATGAAGTTAACATTAAGGGAAGGGAGGAATGAACTGAATGAAAAAGGGGAAAATAGAAGTAACCTAGGTGGGTTTTGTTTATGTTCCTTTGTTAAATTACTGTTGTTCTAGTGGTGACTGGGAGCCAATTACAGGGTTTGGGGGAGATAAGAAAGTGATTCTGGAGAGAAGAGTAAATCCAATTTGAGCAGCAGCATGTGTAACTGCTGAGAAGGGAAGCAGTGCTCCAAGTTAATGAGGAAGATTGATGTACCACTGTTTAAATAGACCTAACTGTTAAATAGACCTATTATTTGTGTCAAAATAGAACTGTATTTTAAAAATTGAAATGTCTTCATGTATGAAGGGAAAAGTATTTTTTGTACTATTAAACTTTGCTTGGGTTCTGGTAGATTTATTGCAAATTCTCTTTCTCTAGGGTTTGGATTCAGGATTTGTTCCTAGTGTCCAAGATTTTGATAAGAAACTTACAGAAGCTGATGCTTACCTACAAATCTTGATTGAACAATTAAAGGTATGGCATTAGTTTGTATATTAAATTTATATAAATAGAAAATGTTACTGAGCTTGATTTTTGAGTAAAAACAGTTACTTGATGTTAATTTACAGCCCTCATGTGGTTCTTCAGCAGTTTTTAAAGCAGACTTAAAAGATCTAGCTGACTTATTCAAAGGTCTTTATCTCTAATTATATTGGTAAATAGCATATTTACATAATGCTTTTTTGGTCATTAAGAAAAAAAAGGTAAATATGTAGGCATAATTAGAAAAAAATAAGGCAAGATTTGGTTCATATTCTGTTTAAAATTTCCATGAAACTGTGTTTTAGTGGCTCAATTTCTTTTTTTGTTTGTTTGTTTTTTGAGACAGAGTCTCACTCTGTCACCCAGGCTGGAGTGCAGTGGCACGATCTCAGCTCACTGCAACCTCCGCCTCCCGGGTTCAAGCAATTGTTCTTCTGCCTCAGCCTCCTAAGTAGCTGGGATTACAGAGGTGCCCGTATTTTTAGTAGAGACGGGGTTTCGCCATATTGGCCAGGCTGGTCTCGAACTCCTGACCTTGTGATCCGCCTGCCTCGGCCTCCCAAAATGCTGGGATTACAGGTGTGAGTCACCGTGCCCTGCCTAGTGGCTCAATTTCTAACACTTTTTTAATTTGAGGGAGATGGAATATGGGGAGGTGATTTCTCTACCTCTTTTATCATTACTGAAATGAATTGTCTCCTTCAGTTCCTACTTAAAATTAATTAAAAGCAGAGGTGCTGGGAAAAGGACTGTTGATAAACTTGGAAAACAAAGCAGAAAAAAAACTTCAAGTTTGAATTCATAGTTTAATTTTTTAAAAGTCATCTGTTTTCTTTTGCTTATAATTCTTCCAGAGTGATTGATCTTGACCAGTTAAAATGATTTCATACAATAGAATTTGACTTTGATTGAGTGCTCGAAAAAAAATACATGTTGTCTTGAAAATAACATATAAATCATCCCTGGACAAAATGTGTTTAAGAACAAATGTTTGTTTTTCTGTGTTTAGTGAATGTACATCGTATAGTAAAGTGGCTTGATACTATAACCATTTTTTAAAATCTTGTAGCTTTTTGATGACAAGCTTCAAAACTGCAAAGAAGATGAACAGAGAAAGGTAACTTCCATAACCGTGCTTTTGACGTTAAAAATTTTAAATTCAGCCTTTTGGAGAACACTAAGTATCTTAGTGTGTTTTTACTTACTATAATAATATTATTGACCTAGTGTAATATTACTGCCATATGGACCTCAAGGGTACTTTTCTGATAAATTTCTGTTATGGTTTCATAATTAAACAAAAGGATAATATACAGAGTTGTGGAGTTTTTTTGGTTTTGTTTTGTTTTGAGATAGTCTTGCTCTGTTGCCCAGGCTGGAGTGCATTGGCACGATCTCAGCTCACTGCAACCTCCACCCTCTGGGTTAAAATGATTCTCCTGTCTCAGCCTCCCAAGTAGCTGGGATTACAGGCATGTGCCACACCTGGCCAATTTTTGTATTTTTAGTAGAGACAGGGTTTCACCATGTTGGCCAGGCTGGTTTCGAACTCCTGACCTCAGGTGATCCACCCACCTTGACCTCCCAAAGTGCTGGGATTACAGGTGTGAGCCACCACACCCAGCCCAGAGTTTTAATATAATACCTTTTCTGTATCATATTCCTAGGAGTAAGTTATTTCCTTTTCATGTATCATATGTTGAAGGTAGAAAGTTGGTTACATATGGTCACTTCAGATACCAATAAACCAACCAGCAAGAATGTTCAGAATAAATAAAAAGCCATATATGAAGAAACAAATCAAATACTGCTTTAATTATGGTTCTGCTATTGTCCCCCACTTGCATTTCTGACAGCTACTTTGTAGTTTGCATATTGTCTTTTTTCTAATTAACATTTTTCCTCTCCTTGGCTTTTTTTTTTTTTTTTTTTTTTTTGCTCTTCTGTTGACTGTATAGCCTTGCGTTTGGCTCTTTTATACCTGTTAATAGTAACTCATGTTATAACTCACCTTTCATTTTTAGTTTTGGGATTTAGTCCCATGTCGTTTTAAAACAACTTAGGAAAGATAAATGTGATTTTAAAATAAGTGAAATTCGTAGAAAAGCCAAAACTTGCTTTCAGGTAAGGAATAAGAATTTTTTGTTGTTGTTTTTTGTTTTGTTTTGAGATGGAATCTTGCTCTGTCGCCCAGGCTGGAGTGCAGTGGCGTGATCTCGGCTCACTGCAAGCTCTGCCTCCCAGGTTCACGCCATTCTCCTGCCTCAGCCTCCCAAGTAGGTGGGACTACAGGTGCCTGCCACCACGCCCAGCTAATTTTTTGTATTTTTAGTAGAGGTGGGGTTTCACCATGTTAGCCAGGATGGTCTCGATCTCCTGACCTCATGATCCGCCCACCTCGGCCTCCCAAAGTGCTGGGATTACCGGCTCAAGCCACCGTGCCCAGCCAGGAATAAGAATGTTTTATATTATTCTTACAAACCTTAAATTGAATCACGTGAATTTTATTAAAGAGAACATATAATTCATAAAAGTCTGGAATTTTTATACAAATAATTGATTTAGATAAAAAACAAAATACAACAAAAAGTACTCCCTTCCCAACTTGCTTGTACTCACTTAGAATGAGTACATTTTGGTAAAATTCTTTAAATGACTAGCCAGTAAAAAATAACCGTCCTTCTTTGTGCTTCTGATTATTTCTGTTTAAACTTATTATTTTTCACAGAAAATTGAAACTCTCAAAGAGACAACAAATGTAAGTTATATGTTTGATACATTCTGACTTTGCATTAGAAAATGTTTTAAAAAGTTATTTCTATTTTAAGCTGCCACTATTGATGACAGCAATTGAGATGTTAGTTTTTATGAATATTATACAGGGGTGCTTAAGCATTGTATTTTTTTTTAAAGGAATTTAAAATAATACTAATAGAATAAGCCCCTTAATCGAAATTGACTTCATGTACCATTTACCTGTTTCTGGTCTCGTTTGAAATCTTGATAAAAGGTGTCTTCCACGCACAGTGGATATGTTATTTCATATTTTAAAAAAAATAATTAATTTCTTTGATTCTTAAGGCAGGGTCTTACTATGTTGTCCAGGTCTCAACTCCTGGGCTCAAGCGATCCTCCTGCCTCAGCCTTCAAAAGTGGTGGGATTGGCCGGGCGCGGTGGCTCACACCTGTAATCCCAGCACTTTGGGAGGCCGAGGTGGGCGGATCACCTGAGGTTGGGAGTTCCAGACCAGACTGACCAACATGGATAAACCCCATCTCTACTAAAAATACAAAATTATCCAGGCGTGGTGGCTTATGCCTGTAATCCTAGCTACTCTGGAGGCTGAGACAGGAGAATCGCTTGAACTGGGGAGGCAGAAGTTGCAGTGAGTTGAGATCGTGCCATTGCACTCCAGCCTGGGCAACAAGAGCGAAACTGTGTCTCAAAAAAAAAAAAAGTGATGGGATTATAGGCATGAGCCACTGCAGCTGGCTTCTTTCTTATTAAAATATATTATAATTCAAGTTTTCTGATATAGTGGACTTCTGACATTATATAATGGGCTACTTATGAGATGTGTACCTTGCTCAAAATTTTAAAACAGGTAAAATAATAATTTGATTCACCAGTGTTTTGACAGGATCCTTTATTCTCCATACTTCCATCAAAGTCTTTTTATTTTTTTTTAAGAAACAGGGTCTTGCTGTGTCATCCAGGCTGGAGTACAATGGTGCAGTCATAGCTCACTGCAGCTTCGAACTCCTGGGCTCAGACAATCCTCCTGCTTCAGCCATTTGAGTAGCTAGGGCTATAGGCACACGCTACCACACACAGCTAATTTTTATTTTAATTTTTTATAGAGATGGGATTCTGCTATGTTGCCTAGGCTGGTCTCCTAGCCTCAAGCGATCCTCCTTCCTTGGCCTACCAAAGCAGTGGGATTACAGGTGTGAATCACCATACCCAGCCTATCAGTGTCTTAGGTAGATTTCTTAGGGTTGCTTGCTGTTGATGTAAGAATTCGTAAGTTAATCAGATTCGTATGTCTTTCTGTTTGAAGTGTTGAAAAACCATTTAGAGCCAAGCACGGTGGCATGTGCATGTAGTGCCAGCTACTCGGGAGGCTGAGACGGGGATCGCTTGAGCCTCTGAGTTTGAGGCTGCAGTGTGCTATAATTGTGCCTGTGAATAGCCACTGCAATCCAGCGTGATCAGCATAGTGAGACCTTGTCTCTTAAAAAAAAAAAAAAAGAAAAAAAAATTAGATATTATTTAGTATAAATTAACAATTTGTGGCATTCGTTAAAATTCATAGAACTGCTAATGAATAACTTCATTTGGCATTATCAGCATACTAGAACCCACTAGATCCAAAGAGGATATTTCTTGTGTAGTATAGACTTAAACTCTATACATCTGAACTGATTTTTATATTTTAAGCTTTAACATTATATATCCATTTATTTGAGCCAAGATCCTAAAATCAGTGTTTTGTTTTTATAGAGCATGGTAGAATCAATTAAACACTGCATTGTGTTGCTGCAGATTGCCAAAGTAAGTAAATTTTACTTTCAATTACCTTTGTGTATGGAGTTCAAAAATTATAATGGCGTTTTTCTTTAATAGCAAAAAAACTCAGATCTGAAACATAGTACCTTTCTACATTAAACTGTATTGTGAGCTTATTCTATGGAACAACTGTTGTGTTTGGCTATTATCTTAGCTACTGTTTCTGGTAATGTCATTTCTGGTAGCTGGGAAGGAGGGGAGCATGTTTGAATGACTCATCCCTTCCTTCCATTTTATCCATTATCACTGCTTAGAACAGGGACATATTTTACAAAACCTTCCACAAAAAAAGTTTTTCTTAGAAAATAGAGAAGTAAGTTCTGACAGTTATTGTCCATAATGAAGAATATAATAGAGATATATTTTTTAAATTTTTACGGATTTTTTTCTGGTAGTGAACTACGTTAGTGGATTTTAATTATTCTTCCTTATTCATGAAACAAAATATATTTTGAATTATTGTGGGTTAAAAATTTCATATATGTTGTCTCTTTTTCTGAAAAATTTTGGTGTATTCAACCTAAATATATATTTTATTGCCTGAGAGTTTCTGAAATAAGAATATTATTGTTTGAGAATAGGAATTTTTAAAACTATTTCTACCTCACTACACCCCTTTATTTCCAGCAAGTGGCTAGCAAGGGGTGGGTGACCAGCTCCACAGCCCAGTTGAGAAATGTTGTTTGAATGAGTTTATAATTACTCATCTCTTTTACTTCTTCAGTTGCATATGTTTGTTTGCCAAATCATAGAGACTTTTAACCTACTGTTGTTAATGACACAATAGCATAGGACAGTCCATTTGCATTTGGATAGTAAGGATATTTAGCTTATAAATTAAATGGGGCAATGTCATTTTCTTTTGAGGCCTGATTTAAAATATATTTTTTATTTTTTGAGACAGTCTCGCTCTGTTGCCCAGGCTGGAGTGCAGTGGCACAATCTCAGCTCACTGCAACCTCTGCCTCCTGGGTGCAACTGATTCTCGTGCCTCAGCCTCCTGAGTAGCGAGGTTACAGGCATGCACCACCACGCCTGGCTAATTCTTATATTTTTAGTAGAGATGGGGGTTTCACCATGTTACCCAGGCTGGTCTGAACTCCTGGCCTCCCAAAGTGCTGGGATTACAGGCGTGAGCTACCAAACCCAGCCCAATGTATTATACTTAAAGTGTCAGAACTTAGGGCTTATGTTCTGTTTCTAGATGTTAGTGATATCTAGATTTCCTATGTATGTGTCTAAATTTTTCATTTCCTGTTGTAGATCATAGTATATTCCAAAGCCAAGCAGAAGGAAAGATAGGATTGGAGGCACAAAAGAGATAAAGTTTTTATTTTAGTTTTTCTTGGCTCTGGAATTACATAGGTGAGTAGAAGCACCTATAGTTATCCAAAAGCTTACCTACAGATAACCAGTAAACCACACCATGCCCTGTTTGAGTGACTAGGTATTTTAGGGAATACATACTGCCTTCTATTGAAGATTGGGGAAGCAGAGGAGCTGATACAGTGTTTAAGCCAGTTTGGGTGATCTCTGAAAATCATTCAGGACTTTAGATAGTTGTACAGTAGGTCAGCCTAGCCTATTTCAGTAGCTCACTGTTTAGCCACTCATCGAGAACATTTTTAGTGTAATTTGTACTTGCTACCTGTCTGTGTTAGCCCAGCTTAATAAAACTACGTTTTAGGGTTCTTCGCAATGGATAACTTGGATCACGTAAATGAAATTTGGCCTTTTATTTATTCCAGAAGGAAGTTTTATTGTTGTTAAGTCTTCTTATGTACAAATACAATCCTCAATTATATTTGTACTGTATATGGACTCTGTATCTTTAAACTTAATTTAAATGTAAATGAGACCGTGTCACTTGCCTGCTCAAATACCCCTGATGTTTTCCATCTCATTTGGAATGAAATAGAAACTACTTACGTTCACTGCCCTCTTACCTGTCTCCTACCCTTGCTTGGTCACACCATTCCAGTAACATTGGCTCATTTCTTTTTCTCAGGCAAGACAAGCTTCCCCCCTCCACCCCCGCCCCCGGCTTTAGGGATTTTTACTTGCTGTTCCCTCCACGTGGAGGGCATTTACCACAGATTGCCACTAGGCTCACTCTCTCACTTTATTCATATTTCTGCCACAAGGAACATCTTTGGAAAGACTTTTCCTGACTCCTGTATCTAAAATAGCCTATACCTCCCACTGGTTTCTTTTTCTTCGTGGCCTCGTATCACTAGTCAAGTTTACACGATATATTTGTTTGTTTATCTCTTTATTGACTGTCTACCCTAGAGTACAATCTTGGTGAGGAATTTGCTCGTCTTACCACTTGTATTAGTCTGCATGGGCTGCCATAACAAAATACCATAGACTGGGTGGCTTAAAGAACAGAAGTTTATTTTCTCACCGTTCTGGAAGCCAGAAGTCCAAGATCAACATTCTGGCCTGTTCAGTTTCTGATGAGGGTCCTTCTCTTGGCCTGTAGATAGCCATGTCTTCACATAGTCTTTCCTTGGTGAGTATGCACAGAGAGAGGGAGCGTGCACGTGTGAGATAGCAAGCTGTTTGGTTTCTCTTCTTACAAGGACACTAATCTTATTGAATCAGGGCCCCACCCTTATGATCCCATTTAACCTTAGTTACTTCTGTAGAGGTCTCATCTCCAAATATAGCCACCTTTGGGGTTAGGGCTTCAACACAGGAATTTGGGGAGGGACACAAACATTCAGTCCATAACCCCATTGTATCCTCAGTGCCTACAGTTGCTTACCATATAGGAGGTGCCTGATAAATAACTGAATTACTGAGTGATTTTTCTAATGCATTACTTTTAATGGTTGCATGGTTTAGTATTTTCACTATATGTATGATTTTTTTTACTTAGCCACCTCTCTGATGTGCTGTGATGACCATCCCTATAAACTAATCTTTAGGTAAATTTAATCAGTTAATCTATGATTAAGATAAAAGATTTTAAAATAATAACAACAGTCAACTTTGCATAGTCTTAAAGAGCGTGGATTATGGCCCCCAGACTGAGTTTGAATCCAAGCCCCACCACTGGAGCAAGTTTATTTATCCTTTCTGTGCTTTGGTTTATATTCCATATACAAGAGGGATAATAGTAATGTCTGTCTCTTACTGATGCTGTGAGACTAAATGATTATTTGTGATGCTCTTGGTAGCTGGCATGTAATAAGCTCTAAATAAGTGTTTATTAAATTTAAAAAAAGAAGGATGCAAATTTTAAAGTGACAGTAACACATCTGGTAAAAGTTGGAGAACTTCCATTGAGTACTGATGGAAATATAAATTGTTATAGCCACTTTGGCAGACTCTTATTCACTGGCAGGTTAATAAAATACCAGAATCAACTACTTTGAGGGAGATAATGCCATTTGAGACCCCACAGTGATATGAGAAGATAGCTAATTTGATACCTTTCTTGTTTGGGGCTGATTAGTATCAGCTTCTTAGAGGCGGCATGCTGTAAGTAAAAATTTTAATTTTAAGCTCCTTCCAGTTTTGATTCTTTGATTTGAATTCCTATTCCCAGTAGATTCTCTCCTGCCTAAATGATTAGTGTATTGGTTCCTAAACTTTACTGCATATTGGAGTCATTTGGAAATCAGTTCTGATTCCTGGCTCCCATCCCTAGACATTGTGTTATAATTCTGTTGTGTGGGGTATCACCTGGGTATTGGGATTATTTTAAACCCCCTGGGTGGTTTTAATGTGCAACAAAGTTTTGAGACCACCTGGTTAGTGGAATTTTCAAGTGGGCTTTGTTATCTCAGAAGACATCCCTCCCCTTACCCTTGGTGGAGACAGCTGATGTTCTTCTCCTGGGAGACTGCAGTGGAGCTGGGGAGTAAGGGGAGAGAAGGGGAGTAGGGCAGGACAGAGTGAAGATAAGCTAGGAGGCCCCTGCAGGTGGAGACTTAACCAGTATCACAGTCAGGTGATGTGACCACATACCACAACTCAGAATGCCTGTCAGAATGGCATGTGCCAGGGGGTTGACTGTGATTTACTAGAACACTATTTTTGCATTGTTTAATTATCACTGAAATTGGGAAAAAGGCTATGCTAGACATGCTTTGGTTTTGAGGTATAGTTGCTACAAACTTAAACTCTGGTTGATTTTCACCAGTTAAATCATGCGGTAAAACAGTATTTCAATACAATTAAAATCAGGCACTTTAAATGGTCATTCTTACAGGCAAAGATAGAGACTATTAACATTTTTCAAGGTAGACACAGATCAATTTGATTTATGTAGTTTTTATAGTCTTGCATAAAATAGATGCAAATAAATACTGTTGATTACTTAGAATTTGAGGCTTTAATTTTGTCAGTTCCTGTTGATTATCCTAAGTCTAGACCAGTGCTATACAATAAAAATATGAGAGCTATAAATGTATTTTAAAATTTTCTTATAACATTTCGAAAGGTAAAAAGAAACAAGTGAGATTAATTTTAATAATGTATGTTAGTAACCCAGTGTACCAAAAATATTATTTCAACATGTAATCAGTATAAAAATTTACTAATGAGATAGTTCATATTCTCCCTCTCTCTTCTTTCTTACTCTCTCTCTCATTTTTTAAGAGATAGTGTCTTGCTCTGTCACTCAGACTGGAGTGCAGTGTCACAATCATAAATAACTCACTGCAACGTCAAACTCCTGGGTTCAAGCAATCCTCCTGCCTCAGCCACCTGAGTAGCTGGGACTACAGGTACTCACCACTGTGCCTGACTAATTTTTAAATTTTTTGTAGAGACAGGGTCTTGCTTTGTTGCTTAGACTGGTCTCAAACTCTTGGCTTCAAGTGATTCTCCGTCCTCGGCCTTCCAAAATGCTGGCATTACAGGCATGACTCTTTCTCTTTTTGCACCAAGTCTTCAAAGTCATGGATGTTCTTTAAGCCACCCAGTCTATGGTATTTTGTTATGGCAGCCCAAGCAGATTAATACAAGTGGTAAGATGAGCAAAGTCCTCACCAAGATTGTACTCTAGGGTAGACGGCCAATAAAGAGATAAATAAACAAATGGTTTATTTCAATGGTTTTTGTTATATTTACAAAATTGTACAGCCATCACCATAATCTAATTTTAGCATACTTCTATCACCGCAAAAAGAAACCCTATACCTATTAAGCAAATATTTTCTATATAGATTTTCTATATAGATGGTCCCTGACTTAATAATGGTTTTACTTAGGATTCTTTGACTTCATGATGGCAGAAAAGTAATATGCGTTCAATAGAAACTGTACTTTGAATTTTGAGTTTTGGTTTTTTCCCAGGCTACTGGTAATGCTATATGATCTTCTCTCACTATACTGGGCAGTGGCAGCAAGCCACAGCTGCCAGTTCGCCACGCGATCACAAGGGTAGCCAGCTGAAACTCTGCACTGTGTACTGTGTTGCGAGATGGTTTTTGCCCAACTGTAGGCTAATGTAAGTGTTCTACAACACGTTTAAGGTAGGTTAGGATAAGCTATGCTGTTTGGTAGGTTAGATGAATTAAATGCATCTTTGACTTAACAATATTTTCAACTTAAGATGGGTTTATTGGGAGGTAAACTCCATTGTAAGTTGAGGAGCGTCAGTGCCTCCCTTTCTCTTCCAACAGCCTCCTACTCTTCACCCCATCCAGCCCTTGGCAACTATTAATCTACTTTCTCTCTCTAGATTTGTCTATTCTTGACTCTTCATGTAAGTTGAATCTTACAATATGTGGTCTTTTGTGACTAGCTTCTTTCACTTAACATCATGTTTTCAAAGGTTCATCCATGTAGAGATCACTTTTGCCTGGAATTTTGAATGTGACTACAGTTCTACAGGATATTTCCACGATGAACTTAGTTAAATCCCTATATAGAAAAATAATTGCCATGCTGTTGGTGTTGATTGTTGTGTAGCCAGAGTTAGAATTGTGTTTGGCTAAGAATGTACACATGGAATTAAAATCTTAGTGGAGGCAGATAAATCATGTTCTAACATTATTACTTACCTAGTAAATAAGCTTTCTTGTAGGAGAAATACACAAGGAGTTACTTACATGTAAGAATGAAGTTAATATTTTTAACATTTTTCCTTAAGGACCAGAGTAATGCGGAGAAGCACGCAGATGGAATGATAGTAAGTTTAATGTAATCTTTTTGTTTCCCTTTACTTCTGCAGAGCATTATAACCAGTCATATCAGGAGAAGCCTGAATTACTACTCATTTTTCAATGCCAACTACTCACTGCTTTTTGTTGTTGACTCTTGCAGTTTCCTTTAAGCTCCCTTCTTTCAGCAATCATTTGCAGGGGAAATGACAATCTTAAAATTTTTCTAAGTGTGGGTTCAGATTGAATCACTTTGCATGTATTAACTTGAAGGGTTAATCATGGTATGAATACTCAGCTTTTACAATTAAATAATGCATAACTCAGTGCCACATTTCTTGTCTAATTTCTATTTTTCTCAGATGAAAGTGGGGGTGGGGGAGTACAATATTGAAACACACCTTAATCTATTTGAATATATTTATAGGTTCCTATTATCTTTTATTTTTAGTTTTTGTGTATGTGTTAACCATCATTGTTAATGTGGTATGTACTGCATTTTTGTTGGAACAATTTACAACATGAATTCTTTCTCTTATAACCATCTTCTCACTCTTTCCTCTCTCTTATCTTTTTACCTTTCCTTTATATTCAACTTCCCCTCCAAAAAGAAAGAAGAAAATTGTATTGTTAGTATTTCCCAGATGGAAATAAAAGAGTTTGAAGGTTTGTGGTTTGTGCTTACCCTAGTTTTATGGTAACTGAGTGACCTTAGTCTGTATTCCTGAAGCAGGAGGCAGCTTTTTTGTTTGTCCTAGACTTTACAAATGCCAGCTTGTCTGAGATCTGGAAAAACATTCTGTAAATTTTCAAAAACATCTCCTGATTGTACTTGAAAGGATGAGCATGTTATCTTTATATTTGGTTTAAAAATTTTTTTTAAGTTAAATCTGTGTTTGCGTATTTCTTAAGAAAGCAGAAGTAAAATAAGCATGTTTGGAATTTGAATTAAATATATCAGAATTTTTGTCAGTTCAAAGTATGATCCATGGTGATATAATACAATTGTATGATATAAATGTAATACAAACTGAAATAATATCTCTTCATGAGATACTATCGAAGATTGTTAGCCTCATAGGAAAGGACTGTATGTATTGTCTAGCATTTTATGGTCTCCAAAGACTCCAAAGGAAAACCATGTTGGCTGTTATTTTTATCTCTTTTCCCTCAAAGCCAAATTAGTTATATTATGTTAAATAAAACAGGCAGGATTTTATAAAACATACCAAAAACACTTGATCATTTGCAATGAAAAACATCTAGAAAGTTTATACTCATAGAAAATTTAACCTAATAGAAAAATATCTTTGAATCATTTGCCCAGGGACTAGAGCATATTTTCCTTAAGAATTTTTATTTTGAAAAAATAGAGGAACTATTCATGGAATAGGCCTTAGAGGCAGGCTGCTTGGGTTCAAATAAAATAGCCCTGCCACTCACTACCTGTGACCTTGGCAAATTACTTAACCTTTCTGAGTCTTAATTTCTTTTCCTGTAAAGAAAGCTGAAATGTTCTACCTTAGAAGTTTGTTGTAAGGTACAGAACAAGCGCATAGTATTCAATGAATGTTAGCTATATGTACATGTATGTGTATGTGCAATACATTGTATTACGTGGGTTTCATTAATGTCAAAACAGATTAGGGCTGAGTAGTATTATTTTTGCTTCTCAAGTTCTGCACATTTATTTTTAAAGCAAGTTGTAGAATGTAATGTGACATATTTGAGCCTGAAGTTGGCTGACCAAGGACTGTGGATAAGTGTAGCATAGTTATTTTTTCTATCAAAAACAATAACAAAAAGATTGAGTACTTTTAATATACATGTTGTCAAAAGACAAAATTACAACAAATTTAATCATAGATCTAATTGGCTTTTATTCAAGATGCATGAATCGGATCAGCCTCCATTCTACAAAATAGAATGAGAGGTCTCACTGGGCAGTGGCAAAGCAGTGGGTTTTGTAAGGTGAGAACTGTAACAGGAAAAAATGCTGATTGGTTAACATCAGATTACTTTTCTTTTAAGGGTTAAAACAGTGAGCATTTCCGTATTACACTGATTCGGGTAGACTGGAATCTCCTATTTTCAGAAAAAAAAAAAAAAACCTGGTCTATTTTGGGATCCACTTGCTTCCTTAGAGTTTAATGATACGGCATTTAACAAGAGTGACTCCATTTTGGTTTGGTCTAATCTGTTGGGCCCTAGTACAAGAGCTCAGTCCAAAACAGTGGCCTCTCATAATTTTTGTTTAACAGTGCACAAAGTTTTTAAGTGTTTTCTTTGGTTGACCAGCCTAATTGTAAGAACGTTTCATCTGGAAAATAAAAGATTACATCCAAAAGAGAATTCTGGTCCCTTGTTCCAAAGTTATTTTATTTCTTATTCCCTTCAGTGGGAGGGGTAAGGAGGTGTGACATATTCTCACTGCTATATATCAAAGCGTTAATGGTGGAATTTTGTCTTTGTAAAGCATTTGGAGTTATTTTCGAGAAAAGCGCTGTGTAAACAAGGAATTTATTTTAAGAACAACTCCATGTTTGTTGAGATACTTGTTTAGTTATTATGGCTTGGTCTAGTATCTGAAAATAGAATCAAAGTAATAACCAGAAAACCCTTAGCACCCATGTAAATACAGACTTTTTATTTTGCAGACCGGGAAACTGAGGCCCATAGAGGATAAGAGACTTAAAGATTCTAAGCTATTAAAAACTCCAAGTCTCTGTTTCTTTGCTTTTCTCAGTGCTTCAAAACATTCCCCACTTCAGTTTCTTAGTTGTTTTTTTTTTTAATTATTACTGATTGTTTTGGGGGTGTTTTCTCTAAGTGTCCTTCATTTTTCAGTTAAAGTATTTGTGGCAGATAAACTATTTTAGTGACAAGAATCAGAATTCCTGTGTTCAAGTCACTTGATCGAAAAGACCTTATTTAATGAGTTTTAGATATTCATGCAGAAAGAGGGCTGGGTTTTTTTGGTTTTAAATTTTCTTTAACAGTCCTGAACACAGTGTATGTTTGTTTTTCACATGGCCTGGAAAAAAATTTTTAACTTAGATATTACGTGAGAATGCTACAAAAACTTTACCATTACCTCAGTTTCTATTATTAGGTGATTTTAAGTTTTTACAACTGCTTTTTTGGGCTTATTTATTGGCAAAGTATTTCCCTTATATTTCTGTTTTAGTATCTTCTGTTATAAGCACTACTTAATATATATGTGAAGTTCAGTTTTCCAGATCAATTAAAGGTAAAGAACTTACATTTTTATTTCTTGGGTTTGCCCAGTTTAGTCTTCTAAATGGTAAATGTAAACTTTGCTGTGGCAAAGACTTTGGTTTAACATGTACACACTCGCACCCCCCTGCTGCCCTATGGAGTTTTCTTTTTAAAATGCCTTCATGCTGTCAGAATAATTTCTTGACTTAGAATCAGAGAATCCTAGACTTTTCTCCCCTCTAAAATTAACTACATGTCTGAATTTTTCTCCCTCTCTTCTGAATCCTCAGAAAGCAAGCCCTCTTCTCTACACTCCCCAGTTAGAAGATGCATCTCTTTCTCTTTAGTGACCATAAAACTAGACACACAGTCAGCCTTCTGCATCTGTGGATTCAACCAACCATGGATTCAAAATATTTGAGGAAAAAAAAAGTACCTCTTTACTGAATATGTATATACTGTTTTCCTTGTCATGATTTCCTAAACAATACAGTATAATGGTGATTTATATAATATTTACATAATATTAGGTGTCATAAGTAATTTAGAGATGATTTAACTTATATGGGAGCGTATGTGTAGGTTGTATGCAAATACTACACGATATTTTATCAGGGACTTGAGTGTCTGTGGATTTTGGCATCCTCGGGGGGTGCTTGGAACCAGTCCCCCTGGATACCTGAGGAGTGACTGTACTGTGTGATAGCAGCAGTATGGGATGGAAAGATGAGATCCTAGTGGTGCAGGTACATCAGTTGGACATTTGGTGTAACTCACCAAAAGTGAAAAAAACAGAGAAACAATATTTGTGGTGAATTAAGAGATTGAGAAGCACCGAATTGAATTGAGAGGTGGTTTTGACTTCCTGAAATCTCCCCACACCATTTTATAACTCCTCAGTTTTTCCATTTAGCTTTACCTTCTTCTGTGACAGAGATTCATTCATTGTCTTTCCTTACTATGCTTTAAGCAACTCTTACACTTCTGTATAGAAAAGGTGTTTCATTCCCTCTTTTCATTTTGATCAACATATCTATATAGCTACCCTCAGGATTTTGAAGTCATAAATGTGGGCATTTGGGAGGGTAGCATGAGAAGAGCATTTAATTAAAAATAGCTATATTGTGTTTCTTTATTTTAGAGTACTATTAATCCCGTAGATGCAATATATCAACCTAGTCCTTTGGAACCTGTGATCAGCACAATGCCTTCCCAGACTGTGTTACCTCCAGGTAATTTGGGAAAATGTTTCTTAGATTCATTGATGAGAAAAAAATAATTTGTGTGGCTGTCATAGCAGTCTTAGCTATTACTGTTTATTTTTGATTTTCCTTGTTTTTAATAAAAGCACTCAAAAAATAATACAGCCAAAAGTGAACTGAAAAAAGATGATAATGTTTTGATATTGGGGCTTTACTGAAGTGTGATGAAAGTGGTTTTGTTATTCAAAGTGAGATAGAAAACAAACTTGGTTACTACGATTTGGATTCACTGGTAGAACAGGATTCTATGACTCAGAATTCATGGCTAGCGAGGAAAAATTACTATACCTTATTCTGGATAATCCAGGGATGTTCCGTTTTGGGGTATTCTGTGTAGCTCTGAACAATACAAATGGTATGTTCATGGTAGATTTTAAGATAATGAGAAAGTGAAGAGGGAAATTTATGATGCCTACTGATCACATGACATCTGGGTTTTGTTTTGTTTTTTTTTTTTTTGTATAAAGCAATACATGCAATTTTTTAAAAACTGGCAAAGAAGGGCTCAGGGCCAATACCTAGCTACACTGACTGATTCCTTTTGCCCTTTTGTTATATCCAACATTTCTATGTTCTCGATGGCATAGTGAAGTCAGAAATTGTACTGTAAAATGGAAAACTCTTTTTAAAAGTACTAGTAAGTATGTGAAATCCTTTTGTGAGTTTTTACTTCTTAAGTGAATTAGCTTAAACTACCTCTTGGGGCTAAAGAGGAACAGGTACTGTACTCCACTTCAGATTTTTTGTGGTTTGAGGCTCAGAAACACATTATCATCAGAAGCATTTGTTGGTTTTACAGCATAGTTATACTGCAGTATTGGCCTACTGTGGCTGGTTTTTTGATATCCTGCCTGGTATCTTAGTACTCTGTAGCCTATCATCATTGAGTTTAAGAGGCTAGGAAGTCAAAAGGAAGGAGTAGCATGGAACTAGACTTAATGAAATAAAGTTTCAAAAATTACTGGCCTTTAGGATTTTGAATCCCAGACAATTACAGTCAATAGAATGTGTGTTTGGCTGTTTCTGTACCTTATTTTATACGTTCAAATCTCCTAGAACCTGTTCAGTTGTGTAAGTCAGAGCAGCGTCCATCTTCCCTACCAGTTGGACCTGTGTTGGCTACCTTGGGACATCATCAGACTCCTACACCAAATAGTACAGGTACAGATTTGCATAATTTCTTTATGTCTCATAACTCTATTAACATTTGAGGTTTGTTTGTGACCTCTGATGAGGAGGGGGAAAGTTGAAGAAATGTGTTGTATATTTTCTGTTGGAGATATGTTAGTTTTAACATTATAGTTCCATACATGAAGTGGTTAGCTTTGTGTTTGAAAGAGAAGCTTTAGTTAAGTTTTATTTATTTTTAAGTTTTTAAAATTTTTATTTTTGAGACAGGGTCTCACTCTGTCATTCAGGCTGGAGTGCAGTGGTACGATCAGGGCTCACTGTAGTTTTGACCTCCCAGGCCTCAGGCTCCCAAGTAGCTGGGACCACAGGCACACACACCACACTTGGCTGATTTTTAATTTTTGTAGAGAGGAGTCTCCCTATGTTGCTCAGGCTGGTCTCAAACTCTTGGGCTCAAGCAGTCTTCCTGCCTCAGCCTCCCAGTGTGCTGGGATTATACAAGCATGAGGCACCATGCCTGGAATAATTTAAATAAAATAAAATATTACAGAGTTTTGTTTGTTTGTTACCTTAACATTTATTTGGTGATCTATGTTGACTTTTTGAAAAATTTACTCCAGCTAGACTTGCATACTTTCTTATTATGAAGCTGACACAGAAGTGCACAGAATAAAAACTGCAAGTCCTCTTTACTCTCCCCCCAGTAATTTGCATACATGTATGTGCATATACACTTATGTCGTGTATTTTTATTGTTTTTGTTTAAACCTAACTTAGGTTATGTGTTTCTGTGACTTGCGTTTTTCCTTTAACAAAGAACACTTAGAGCACTTTCCATGTTTGTAAAATTAGGTCTACAGCATTCTTTTTACAGCTGCCTGGGCAGGTATTGCTTGTTTTTTCCACTGATGGAAGCAATACTTCAGTGATATCCTTGTACAGCACCTTTGGCATATGTATATTTTTTTAGAAAACATTTATCAGTCTTTCACCTTTTTGCCAGTTTTATAGTTAGAAAAAAGATACTTCATTTTAATTTGCATTTTCTTTTTGTTTGTTTAAACGTTTTGTTTTTTGTTTTTGAGATGGAGTCTCACTCTGTTGCCCAGGCTGGAGTCCAGTGGCACTGTCTCGACTCACTGCACCCTCCACTTCCTGGGTTGAGGTGATTCTCCTGCCTCAGCCTCCTGAGTAGCTGGGATTAAAGATGTGCGCCACCACGCCCCACAAATTTTTGTATTTTTAGTAGAGACGGCATTTCACTATGTTGGCCAGGCTGGTCTCGAGCTTCTGACCTCAGGTGATCTGTCCACCTCCACCTCCCAAAGTGCTGGGATTACAGGTGTGAGCCACCGCGCCCAGCCTGCATTTTCTTAATTCGTTTAGGCTTAGGGTCTTTATTTTTTCTCTGTTTTACAGGGATACTATCAGTGTTAGATACTAGATTTATCTTGTTTTAAAATTAATTAAATGTATGTTGAATAACTTGTAGAACCAAACTCAAGGAAGCATCTAGCACTTTTCACACTGTTAAACCTGGAAACCAAAACCAAAACCACTCTTGAAGAAGTGGGAGATCAGCCCCTTTTGTTCATCCTCAGATTTTTTTCCCGGGTAGGATTTTTCCTGTGTAATGATGAATAATTACCCTGTGATTTAAAAAATTCGAATTAGTAAAAGTACTGATGCTATTACTTTGATCTTTACTATTTAACAGCATGGGCAGTTGCCTTTGAATTTTGAAAGAAAAAAAATAGCTCTCTTACTTGAAGCTCTTGGGAAAAGGCTGATAAGCAATTTGAATAATGAAATTGAAATATTTTGGCTGACTTCTGTATTTCCTGAGCTGTGTCACCTCTTCTTCATTTAAAAAATAGTACCTGTTTGTTGTTGTTCGTATTTTTATGTTGGAATTTTGAAACAACCAAAATTCCAAAATTTTTCTGTTTGGAAATACGTAAAACTAGCAACAGACTTTGAGAAAGTGAGAAGCTCTTCTTATGTATATTAATTTTTGTAAAAATTACTTCCAGAAGATAATCTTCTGAAAACTATTTCAGTTGAAGGTATTTCAAAAATCTAACACTTTAGAGTAGATTTAAAGAAAAATTTAAAATTAAATTCCTGTGATTTATATCTTATTTGATTTTTCATCCTAACTTCATTTTCTCCACTTTTCTTTCCCTTACTTCTCTTGTTAATACAAAAAAGAAATAAAGGAATAAGATAAAATGTTTGCTCTCCTAAGTAAATCTCAGATCTTTTGTTTGCAGTTCCCACTCAAACTTTTCTTCTTAGATACAGTTTCACTTGTGTGATCACCTGGAATATTTGCATGCTACTTAATCATTTGCAATTCTTGATCAATTTTTTTTTTATTCCAATAAGAAAAAGCTGCTTTTCTCTCTTACTTTTTCTGTTGGGTAATAAAAAGAATATGAAGTTATTTACTAATAAGGTGAGCTACCTTTGGAATTTCCAAAATAAGCATTACCTTTTAGGGGTTAAACTTTTTGTGTTATCTTTTTAAAATACCTTTGTGAATATGATGACTAAATGTGGCAAACTGATGTGCTTTTTTTCACAACTATTGAACCATACATATAGGAATGGGCAAAAAATCCGTAAGTGACTCTGGATTCTTTTTTTTTTTTTTTTGAGACAAGGTCTCACTCTGTTTACCCAGGCTGTAATGCAATGGCACAAACACAACTCACTGCAGCCTCGACCTCCTCAGATTAAGTGATCCTGCCCCAGCCTGTCGTGTAGCTGAGACCACAGGCACATGCCACCATGCCCAGCTAATTTATTTATCTATTTTTTTAAGAGATGGGGCTCTCACTTTGTTGCACAGGCTGGTCTTGAACTCCTGGCCTCAAGCAGTCCTCCCAACTGGTCCTCCCAAAGTGCTGGAATTACAGGCATGAGCCATTGTGCCTAGCCTGGATTCATTTTTATTGCTGTCTTCAATTTCTTCCAGAACTGTGGCCCTGGCTTTCAGATTGCCATCAGTGTCTTAATAAACTTTAGTCTTCACCAGACATCTGTAGATTAGTATAAATTGCCTGACTGACAGCCCTTAAATGCTCAGTAAGTTAAATTGATCTTAATACTCCATTTGTCGATTGGTTTGATACTTTTTTGTTCTTGCTTTACTAGTAGATAAGGTACCAGATGATCATCTCAGAGATTAGATGGCAGGCTTCTTTGTCTGGGTCTTCATTAATTTCCATTTCTTTAGTTAGACTATTTAGGAATAGAAAAATGTTCTTCTGAATCTTTTCATTTTCTGCATTCTTCTCATCGTAGTCCTCTATTTTTATCTCCACCTCTGAGCCCCTGACTTAGGTGGAAAAGAGGAGAGGAATTTGGATGGTGTGTGTATTTTCCATGTGATTGCCAAAAAATATTGAATGATAGGAATGTGATATCCTGCAATATTTTAATGTTTATGTGGTCTTAATATTCTTTTCATTTTGCATTCCCAGTGGCTCACTGCTGCATTTTTAGGTATCTGGATCTGCAGTGTAAAATAAGAGTCCCGGCATCCCATTGTAATCATATCTGTTGTTGGACTTGCAACTCCACAACTCATATAATCAAAAGGGCCCCCTTCCTAGTATTAATGATAATCTTTAATTATAGAATGAGGACATAGCTTTTTGTTTCATTTATTTAAAAGGCTGTGTCCTCATTTTATATCATGATTTGCCATTTTCTGTGTGGAGTTTAAATGTTGATTTTCTTTATAAATACTGTAGCGACTTTTACAAACTTAACCAAACTCTTTTTTGATTTTAGAAAAGTCTGCTTTGACTCCATCTCCCTAGTTTCTTCTCTTTCACCAATATTTTTCTCTAAAACCCTTTTAACTTCCTAGGCAGTGGCCATTCACCACCGAGTAGCAGTCTCACTTCTCCAAGCCACGTGAACTTGTCTCCAAATACAGTCCCAGAGTTCTCTTACTCCAGCAGTGAAGATGAATTTTATGATGCTGATGAATTCCATCAAAGTGGCTCATCCCCAAAGCGCTTAATAGAGTGAGTAGATGAACAGAATATGTATTTAAATGATTCTCCTGATTTTTAAAAATCTAATTTGATTTTGAGACTAGTGTTAATGACAGACTTGCCTCATCAGTTATTATTTGGGAAAATTAAAAGGGCAACCTTTTTAATAGAAGTTTTTTTATTGATGTATAATAGTTGTATGGACAACTTGTTTTTGGTTGGCTTATTGAGCAAAGCCAGTTCTGTGAGAGTTTTGATTTTAGTCCTAAGTTAATCCAAGTGGAATAAATAGCATCACCTATAGTAATGTGCCAGCGTTATTAGTTGAACCCTGGCCGTTTCTACAGTACCAACATTAGGAGAGGGTCCAATGAGAGTGAATAAGCTATGAAGCATTATACAAATAAGAGGTTTCTATTACTTTTTTCTTTTTTTAATTAGAGTGGAAATATTCAACACCTATCAGCCAGGCACTGTGCTAGGTTGATATCAAGGTTACAAAGATCCAGGCCCTGCCCACAGGGAACTTTTGGGGGAATAGGCAGACATTTATAATCTAATGAAATACGTGGTATGGTATCTTAGTCCCTTTAAGCTGCCATAACAAAATACAGTAATCTAGGTAGCTTATAAACAACAGAAATTTATTTCCTACAGTGTTATGGAGCAAAAGGGGCTTGCTGCCCAATGTGCTAGAAGCCATTACTAAGTCCCAGGTTTTTGAGGAAAGAAAAGCTTTTTATTGCAAGTCTACTTACAGGGAAATGGAAGTCCACCTCAAATCTGTCTCTCTGCACTGGCTTTAAGGCACTAATTTTATTTAAAAACGTTTAGGGAGGCCAAGTGTGGTGGCTCACGCCTGTAATCCCAGCACTTTGGGAGGCTGAGGCTGGCAGATCATGAGGTCAGGAGTTCGAGACCAGCCTGACCAACATGGTGAAACCATCTCTACTAAAAATACCAAAAAAAAAAAAAAATTAGCCAGGCATGGTGGTACATGCCTATAAATTCCAGCTACTCAGGAGGCTGAGGCAGGAGAATCACTTGAACCTGGGAGGCGGAGGTTGCAGTGAGCTGAGATCACACCACTGCACTCTAGCCTGGGCAACAGAGCAAGACTCTGTTTCCAAACAAACAACAACAACAAAAACAGTTTAGGGAGCCAGGTGTGGTGGCTTATGCCCCTAATCTCAGCAATCTGGGAGGCTGAGGTGGGAGGATCAGTTGAGCCCAGGAGTTTGAGACCAGCTTGGGCAACATGGTAAAACCCTGTCTCTAAAAAAATACAAAAATTAGCTGAGTGTGGTGGCACACGCCTGTCGTCCTAGCTACTCGGGAGGCTAAGATGGGAGAATCTCTTGAACACAGGAGGTGTAGGTTGCAGTGAGCCGAGATTGGGCTGCTGTACTCCAGCCTGGGTGACAAGAGTGAGACTCTGTCTTAAAAAAAAAAAAAAAAGAAGTAGAATTACTGATTTACTTTCATTTTACTTGTGTTTGTTGTAGATGTATTAATAGCTTAGTTTTTGTTGGGAATTACTTCTAATTCTGCTTTCTCAGGGGACTGTTACTATACTGTTACTATAGCTAGGGTTTTTGCTTTTTAACACAGTACAAATTTGGAAATAATTAAATGTAAATTTGCAAGCCAATTACCTTCAGCCAGTCCTATGTGGTCTAGGTGAATATATATAGTTAAGACGTGGAAGGGAGGTTTAAATCTACAACTAAAGAAGGCCAGTGTAGCAGAAAGGGCTTAGTTTAGCATATTGGTTTCTTTTTTTCATTTTGAATGTTAAAACATAAACTATTGAGAAACCATTGTTAGCAGTTTGCCAATAGAAATTTAATTTTGGAAAAAAAGTTTTTATAATAATGGGGTTAAAAGAAAATAAGCATTTGGAAGAAAATTCGAAAATGAAAGGTTATTATTAATTTTTGAAGGGTTCAGTCATTATTTTATTTAAAAGAGAATTAAAGACCGTCTTTTTTTTTTTTTTTTTTTTTTTTTTTGAGACACAGTCTTTGTCGCCCAGGCTGGAGTGCAGTGGCGCCATCTTGGCTCACTGCAAGCTCCGCCTCCCGGGTTCACGCCATTTTCCTGCCTCAGCCTCCCGAGTAGCTGGGACTACAGGCGCCCGCCACCACGCCTGGCTAGTTTTTTGTATTTTTAGTAGAGACGGGGTTTCACCGTGTTAGCCAGGATGGTCTCGATCTCCTGACCTCATGATCAGCCCGCCTCGGCCTCCCAAAGTGCTGGGATTACAGGCATGAGCCACCGCGCCCAGCCTTTTTTGAGACGGAGTTTTGCTCTTGTTGCCCAGGCTGGAGTGCAATGGTGCAATCTCGGCCTCCTGGGTTCAAGCAATTCTCCTGCCTCAGCCTCCTGAATAGCTGGGATTACAGGTGCCCACCACCATGCCCAGCTAATTTTTGTACTTTTAGTAGAGGAGGGGTTTTGCCATGTTGGCCAGGCTGGTGTCGAACTCCTGACCTCAGGCTGTCCGCCTGCCTCGGCCTCCCAAAGTGCTGGGATCACAGGCATGAGCCACTGCACCTGGCCTAAAGACAATACATTAGCTATTGTTCTAAAAAAGTGCAATTGAATGTCACTTGCTAGTAAATCACTCATGTATCCATCCTTTAAAAGCATATGACTGTATTCAGTAAAAGCTTGATAATATGTGGTTAGCTCTTGGTAACATCACTGATAGACACTCTCTGGCTCCGTTTTGAGGGATTCTCCCAAAATTTCTATGAAATCGAAACATTTAAAACACCTGTTGTACCTGTAATAGGCAGGTCTACAAAGTCATGCACAGGCTCATGGGCTTCTTCTATTCCTGCTGTTAAGGTTCCTTCTATGCTCTCCCAGTACCCTGTCCCATAATAAACACACAGTTCATGAACATCTCTTTGAAAGGGTCCAGAGTTAAGTTTTTATGTCCAACTAACCCACTCTGTGTTCCTTTTCTCCCTCAATTTCACTCTTCCTTGTTTGTATATTCTAATCTAGAAGCCCAAACCAGTAAGGACTGCAGATGTTTTATTTGGGCAGCACAGTGTTCTGTTGACTTGTTTTTTGTTTTGTTTTAACAAGGCTTTAGATTCTTTCAGGTTGGGTATGCTGACTCCCCAGTTCCATATATATCTTATGTCTTGGTCCTATCCACATATTCTCTGCCTGGCATCTGTAGCTATTTGAGCTTGTGACACCTGCTGGTCATCAGCTGCTACTGCTGATTTTCTAACTGAGGTCAAATTTCTTTTTACTATTTTTTGTTTTTCTCTTTCTGAAGGAAGAGAACTTGAAAGCTTAAGTCCTTTCACTGTTCTTTTTCTAAAGACCTATACTAATGATAGCTTCTGTGTAACTATGGCACTGAGCACTGTAGTTTACACATTTATAAATTAGATAAAAGTACATGTTGGAAAGAACTTGTACTTTGGAGCCAGACGTGTTTGAAATGGCTCCACTACTCACCAGCTGTATGACTTCAGACCAGTCATTGAACCTCCGAGCGTCTGTGTATTATGAGCGTCATTGTGTTTTCCTTAGGGTTGTAATGTAGATATAGACATACCGTGTATGGTGCATACAAGGTACTCGATAAATTATTATTATAATTCATAGCTTTAAATTGTTTTTGCATACTTTATGATTTTATGCCTAAATTCTAGACAACTTAGCCCATTGCAGATAAAACTTTCCTGTATACATAGGTGTTGTTTTTAACTGTTTTCTTTATATCATTTGTTCTGAACAAGGTAAATTATGAAATGGCTGAAAATTTATCCCATTTTTTTTCAATTTACAGTCTTACTGAGTATTTCACTTGGCTCAGACATGGTTTCTAATCATGGGTAAGGAGAAAAAACACAGCATAAATAGGACCTTTGAAATTACATCTAAAATAAGATTCATATGTTATAGGATTTGGGGTTTTTAGGTCAATTGATTTAAAAGATTGACTCTATTTTGAGATACATCACAGAGGCACAAAGCATTTTAAAGGTAACTTTCATGCTTTTTTTTGAGACAGAGGGTCTCACTCTATCACTCAGGCTAGAGTGCAGTGGCACGAACACAGCTCACTATAGCCTCAACCTCATGGGCTCAAGTGATCCTCCCACCTCAGCCGCCCCAGTAGCTGGAACCACAGGCACACACCACCATGCCCAGCTAATTTTTTTTTTTTTTTTGAGACAGAATCTCACTCTGTCGCCCAAACTGGAGCTGGAGTGCAGAGGTGCGATGTCGGCTTATTGCAACCTCCACCTCCCAGGTTCAAACGATTCTCATGTCTCAGTCTCCAAAGTAGCTGGGACTACAGGCGCATGCCACCACGCTCGGCTAACTTTTTGTATTTTTAGTAGAGATGGGGCTTCACCATGTTAACCAGGCTGGTCTTGAACTCCTCACCTCAAGTGATCTGCCCACCTTGGCTTTACAAAGTGCTGGGATTACAAGCCTGAGCCACCATGCCCAGCCTAATTTTTTATTTTTTGTAGAGATGGGGTCTCACCATGTTACCCAGGCTAGACTCAAACTCCTGGGCTCAAGTGATCCTCTTGCCTTGGCCTCCCAAAGTGTTGGAATTACAGGCGTGAGCCATCATGCCTGGCCCCAGTTCTGTCATTTAATGATCATTTGATTTCTCTTACCTGTATCTTTTAGACATATTTTCCATTGCCTCTCAAAACTGGTGAGGTGGACATTAGTTATAATACCTTGTGATATATACTACTAAATAATCAAAGAAGTAATACTTAGTTACTCAAGAAATTTTGAAAAATAGGTAAGTAACCAGGGCAAACTAGAATAACATAATATATTCTAATTTTAGAATATCCTAATATTCTAGTGTTCTAATACAGGCAGAGCCCAGAGGATTTTTACAGCAGTGAAACTATTCTGTATGATACAATGGTGGATACATGTTGTCATATATTTATCAAAACCGATAGAACAGGCAACTCCAAGAGTGAACCCTAATATAAACTGTAGACTTTGAGTGATAATGATGTGTCAATGTAGGCTCATTGGTTGTAAGAAATATACCTCTCTGGTATGGGATGTTGATCATGAGGGAGGTTTGCAGGTGTGGAGACAGGGAATGTATGCATGCTGTCTATATTTTCTGTTCAGTTTTGCCATGAACCTAAAACTGCTCTAAAAATAAAGTTTATTAATTTAAAAAAATTAAAAGAAGTTAAGTAACAAGGGCAAATTATGATTAGATTAGAATACATGTTTTCGCACGTGTAGAGTTGTAATAAGACTCATGTGTACTGTTTTATAAATATCTAAAGCGTGAGAAATTTGATTTCAATTTTTACATTTAATAAGTAAATTGTGTGCCTTTTTTATTTTTCCTTTATTTATATACAAATACCAACTGGGTGTGGTGGCTCACACCTGTAAACCCAGTGACTTGGGTGGCTGAGGTGGGAGGATCACTTGAGGCCAGGAGTTCGAGTCCATCCTGGGCAACATAAGGAGACCTTGTCTCTTAAGAAAAATATAAATATACGTGCGTGTGCGCGCACACACACACACTTCCATCGGTAAATTATGATCACAGGTATGATAATCTATTAATAATAGAATAATCTTTCTTTAGACCTGTTAACTGGCTCATAAAAGCCAGTTAGCATGAATTTACTTGCATAAATAAGATGTTTTTTTATTTTATAATTTCAAGTACAGTTTTTTAATGATTAGGAAGAGTGTTAATACCAATGTGGGCTTTTATTAAAGGATCTCAAACATAAAGACAAGACATGTTTCTGAGACTTGCCGTTTCTGGAATTGTTGCCAAGAATTGTGACATATTTAGATTTATACCCAGTAACAAAATCATAAAAGGAACTCTAGTTTTAAACTTAAATGCAGAGGCAAAGATCTCACTAATTTTTGATGACTTCTAGGTCTTGACTATCAACATGGCTTTGTTGAGCACATCCTGTGCATAAAGGATAAGACAAGAGACCTTGTCATCAAGAGAATTCTAAAGCATATATATGCATGCATGTAACCAGCTAACTGTACGAGTCTAGCTTACTATGATTCTAAATTGCTTTCTTTAGCTTAAATAAGGTAATTAATGTTTTTATAGTTCTTCTGGATCTGCCTCAGTCCTGACACACAGCAGCTCGGGAAATAGTCTAAAACGCCCAGATACCACAGAATCACTTAATTCTTCCTTGTCCAATGGAACAAGTGATGCTGGTAAGTGACCTTTGATAATTTAACTTTTTTTTCTTTAAAAATATTTGTGGCCAGATGTGGTGGCTCATGCCGTAATCCCAGCACTTTGGGAGACCGAGGTGGGCAGATCACTTGAGGTCCGGAGTTCAAGACCAGCCTGACCAACATGGTGAAACCCCATCTCTACTAAAAAAATACAAAAAATTAGCTGGGCATGGTGGTGCGTGCCTGTAATCCCAGCTGCCAAGGAGGCTGATTCAGGAGAATTGCTTGAACCTGGAAGATGGAGGTTTACAGTGAGCCAAGATCGTGCCATTGCACTCCAGCCTGGGCGAAAGAATGAGACTCCATCTCAAACAAACAAACAAACAAAATTGTAATTCTAGTATCAGGACAGATTGGCCCAATTTAGCACCATTCTAATAAGATCTGCTTTATTTTAGACCTGTTTGATTCACATGATGACAGAGATGATGATGCGGAGGCAGGGTCTGTGGAGGAGCACAAGAGCGTTATCATGCATCTCTTGTCGCAGGTTAGACTTGGAATGGATCTTACTAAGGTAAGACCAAATTTGCTGTAAGTCTGTGTGGGTATGTATGGATTCTCAGTGATTGCGTGGTGAGTGTGCCTGCAAATGTAGTAAAATGACATAATTTCTTTTTATACCTGTGTCTTCTTGTGATTTAATATAGATGTAGATAAGTAAACAAAATTTTATAAATGATGAAATAAGTCAAGCTAGGATAATTTCATAGAGAACAGTGTGTATGAGTTGTATGGATTAAGATTTGGTAGAGTTCTAATCTTAGGGTCAGAGGATCTGTGTTTTCGTCCTACCTCTAATATTAGCAAACCACGCACGGTCTTCAGTGAGTTTCTTCTGTTTCTTCCTCTGTGGACTTCAGGGTTCTCTATGCAAATTGGACACATAGTAACCTGTTTCAGAGGGTTATTGTAAGGATTGGAAGAGGTAGTAAATGTAAAATTGTGACATATTTGTGACCTCTGTCTCCCAGGTTCAAGCGATTCTCCTGCCTCAGCCTCCTTGGTAGCTGGGACTACAGGCACGCAAAATGACACATATTGAGTCATGCAAAATTACCATAGTCTGGATTTGAATTTGAATTTAAACTTGGAGCTCTCAACAGAATGCATGCTTGAATTAGGAGACTGGTGTATGGGTGCCTTTGTATATTCCTGCCACTGTGCTAGAAAACCCCCTCCTTTCACTTAATTCTCACCACAGTACCACAGAGTAGGTGTTATTAACTTCATTTCATCAGGAAACTAAAACTCAGAAGTTAAGTAATGTGGCTGAGTCGTGTTAAGTCATATTAAGTGGCAGACTGAGATTCTAATCTGCTCCATGATTTTAAAACCTGTAATCTTTCCACTACTGCCTTTGTCTTGAAGGCTTGAACTGTATTAACTTTCATATTGATTATTGTTCTGCCGAGCTTTGGGGAGTTGATTAAATTTAGAGTTCTCACTTTTGTTAGGGCAAAATCAATTCCAGTGTTATAGTCTTTGTCAGTAGTGAACTCCTTTTTGTTTTGGATTTAGAGGGCCATTAAGAAAAAGACTAATTCATAATACCTTCAAGTAAGTGTCTGTAATAAAACCTTTTACCCCTAATCTAAGTGAGAACAGAGACACAAGGACAACTTTTATTTGTGGAGCCCAACACACTTACTAGGAATGTTCTAGGTAGGAGAACATTTGCAGGAGTTTGTCCCCGGAATTGCTTCAGTAATCATTAGATTGTACAGCTGCTGGCGTTGTTGTTGTTGTTGTTGTTGTTGTTGTTGTTGTTGTTAGGAAGGACGTTGTTTTCCAGGAGTGGCTCATTAGGCTTCCTGTTGAATCTCATTGGCCAGTATCAGGCATATGCTCGTGCCTAAACCTGCCACTGGCAAGGGGGAGGCTAAATGATTGGTTTAAATGAATCCACATTCACCCCTTGAGACGTGGAAGAGAAGGCCATGGCAGCCCACAGCTGAACCTGAACTGAATCAGAGTTCTTGGGGGTGAAGCATGGATGGGGAGAGGCAACCAGATGTATTTGCCACAATCAAGTTTGTAATTCTTGCCTCACATAATTTTCTCTGCCAAATAAACCATATTTGAGTCCATAGCTGCTAAAAGCTTGTTATATTATAAATGATATTATCATAATTATTTTTTACTGAATGTGTTTAAAATAAGTCATTTTTGAAATTTTTATTGGCACAAATGGCTGTGATTGCCAACAGATTCTGAAATCTTGGTTCCTTTTATGCATTCCAAAGTATTGTTACAATAATGCCTTAAATTTGTGTCTTTTATAAGAATGTTTTCTCACTTCAGATACTTTCCAAAAAGAGTTTGTTTTCCAAATACTTTGTAGTTTTTAAAAATACTACACAGTCACATCCCATTTAACCTCACTCAGTCTTTAAAATAAAAGAACCCTAACATATAAGCAGGGCATGTAATTATCTTCCTTTTCAGGTACTTAGAGAAATTGAGTTAATTTTTCAGGGCCTCCTCACAGCTAAGAAGAGGCTAAACAAGCTCTTGAACCCAGGTTGAAGACAGCTAAACCCAGCTCTCTTCATCACTGTTACAGCAGTTTGACTTAATAGCATGTATCAGTATAGCACTACAAACATTGAAGAAAATCTGTTAAATAAGAGTTCTCAGAAAAATCCTAAGTAGAAGAAAAAAATATTTATTTTTTTTAAATTACGTGTGAAATTAAACTTTTTAAAAATGTTTTTTGGCTGTTCAGTTCCTTTGTCCATTTATCTACTGGAGTAGTGATCTTCATCTTGAGTTGTAAGAGCTGTTTATACATTAAAGGTATTTATCCATGTTTTCTTCTTCAGCATTTTTACTCGGTGGTTTATAATTCTGCGTTATCTAAAGTGGTAAGAAGTTGTACCAAGGCAGTATATAAGCTTCCCTGCTAATCTAACCCTATTTGGATTATGAATTTACATGTTCTGTGGAAGAAAAATGTTTACCTAAAATTTAAATGCTGAGAGTCTGATAATAGAGATTCTAAGTGTTACAGTCTTAGTGTCCCTTTCCAAGCTTGTGTTCATCAGCCCACTTTATATTTTCATTATATGTCCAGCCACACTGGTTCACTGATTAATCCCTGTCACACCCCTCTTCCTATCCTTTCCTTGTCTTTTTTTTTTTCTCCCGTCTCCATGTCTTGTTCTTTTATCACAGCCTTACTCTTCTTTAAGGCTTTTCTCTAGTGCCACCTCAATAAATTGTTTCCCAGCTCTGCCCTCATTCTGTTCCCCCAAACAGAGCATGATCTTTCCTTGAACTGAACTTCCAGGGTGCTTAGAGCATTCTTGTATGATGTTTGTCACATTCCACCTACAATTTAAATGCTCTTGTTATTCTCTCATACTTACCTTTGTCTCCACCATAGCTTGCTTGCATTTATTTATTTATTTATTTATTTAGAGATGGGGTCTTGCTCTGTCACCCAGGCTGGAGTATAGTGGTGCAATCTTGGCTCACGGCAACCTCTGCCTCCTGGGTTCAAGTGATTCTCCTGCCTCAGCCTCTCGAGTAGCTGGGACTACGGGTGTGCGCCACCACACTCAGGTAATTTTTGTATTTTTAGTAGAGACGGGGTTTCACTGTGTTGGCCAGGCTGGTCTCGAACTCCTGACCTCGGGTGATCCACCCACCTCAGCCTCCCAAAGTGCTGGGATTATAGGCACAAGCCAGTATGCCCAGCCTCCACCACAGCTTTTAACACAGGACCTTGAATATAGTGGATATGTAGTTATTACTAAATGTTAAGAAATTTTTGCTTACTCTGGGGTGTTCTACTTCGTAATGAATAATTGATAATCTGATACTCATTTCAAAAACTCTTCTCCCATTCCCATTCTCTAATGAAATTCTTCTCTTTTTTTCATTGGTTAATCATCTTTCTCATGTCTTCCCGTATTCCAGTTTGTTGGTTCCCAGTCTGTATTCTTTTCTTCTTTTTGTTTATTCCTTTAATTGCTCATTTAAAAGTTTCTTACTGTGTAAATAGTAGTGAGAGCGCGAGTGTGAATAAAACTTAATTCTTGGATTGTAGGTGCTCATCATGTATTTCCTATACACTTGTCTAATGATGATAGAGCAACAGCAGTAGAAAGTGCACACACGCCCCAAACTCAGATCCAGTTTGAATTCCACATTAATAATGGGACAATTAATAGTGGGACGCTGAGCTTCATATTTCTTCACTGTAATAATTTCTTCATCATAGGGCTATTGTAATATAATATGTATGTAATATACAAATAATAAAATAATGTATATGTAATGTCCAGCAGATAGGAGGCATCAAAGGATTCCTCTGAGTGAGTTTGTTGAGTAGTTTGTTGTTGTTACTATACTTAGGGAGAAAAAGGAAGTTTCACAGAGGAAGTGACATTTGAACATTCAAAAGTCTTTCTCTGTTTTTGATCTGCTAGGCAGGTTAATGGTCATTTCTGAATCTGACAGGTTGAGAATTAGTTTTTGGAGCATGCCTGGGCAATATGTGGTGGATGTTACCATGATTTGAATGAGGTGGTGTTTTGTTTTGTTTTCTTTTTTTTTTTTTTAGTCTGTTTATCTGAAGAGAAATTTGATCTTCAAGGGTCAAATGTGTATGTTTTTCAGGTAGTTCTTCCAACGTTTATTCTTGAAAGAAGATCTCTTTTAGAAATGTATGCAGACTTTTTTGCACATCCGGACCTGTTTGTGAGGTATTTGACTGAACATGGTAGTTTCCAACGTTTACAGATGTTACTCAGCAGCTTTCTGCCTTTTATTTTGCAGGATAGATGGATTCCTTGTCACCTTTCAAACATTTCTGGGTATTCTGTGGTATTGAATAATGTGTTTACACTGGTTGCCTGTTTGCTTAAAGTTATATGGTGGCGATGTTAGGCAACCAAGTTTAACACTTTAAAAAATTCTCAAGAGCCCGTTAATAGGTAGCCAATATTCACAAGGCCAATGGTATAAGTTTATTTAATCCAGGCACTGGCAATCACTGTCAAATTATTTGTACTATATCCTAATGAAGCTTAATTTTCTGAGTTCAGCAAACCTTTCCAAAGCACCTGTTGTTTGCTAGGCACTTTCTTACAAGTTGGAGAAAGGAAAAGTCATGTCTGCCCTTGAGCTTACAATATAGTATCCAAATTATAGATGATTTATAAATTTTAAATATAAAGCTTGCAATATTATATATGTGTATATGTATGAGATAGAAGTAATGTAAAGGTGAAATTGATTTACAAGGAGGTGAGTTCACATTGCCTTTCGCTGGTAGCAGGAAATTTTTTTGTAATGGGGAATGTTGTTAGTTCGTCTTCTCTGCATTCCTTAGTCTCAGACTGTGGTTTACTGAAGCTAGATACATATCACTGAAGTTTCTTGCTGGGTGGATACATTGGCTGACATTGATAAATATATATTTTTTTTTTCTTGATGAAGATTTAAAAGAATAACCAATTCCCCAAAGGCAGAAATTTAAATAAATATGGCAGTGTTTAAATTAACAGATAATTTAAGAAGTAAAATTTAAGCATTTATTAGTAACGTGTAAGCAAAAATGGAACGTACCAGTTGTTCATTGGGTATAGATTTGAGATTTAAGGGTAGTTTTTATGTGTGAGAATTTAAACTTTGAGGCCCCCAGAACTATTTACAGGCCAGTTGCAGTGGCTCATGCCTGTAATCCCAGCACTTTGGGAGGCCAAAGTAGAAGGATTGCTTGAAGCCAGGAGTTTGAGACCAGCCAGGGCAACACAGCACAACCCTGTCCCTACAAAAAAAAATTTTTAATAATAAGCCAGGCTTGGTGGTGTGCACCTGTAGTTCCAGCTACTTGGGAGGCTAAGGCAGGAGGGTCATGCAGTCCCAGCAATTTGAGGCTGGGACTGTGAGCTATAATCACACCACTGCAGCTTGGGTGACAGAGCAAGACCCTGTCTTAAAAAAAATAAAAGTACAGTTCAAAAGCCAGTAGATAAGATTAAACGGAATCATACAAATACTCCATTAATTCTAAGAAAGGAGAAAAGGAGAAATAATGGCATGAACAAGGAACAAAGGGGGCATGTAGAAAACCTATTAAAATGGTAGAGTTAATCCCAACTATATCAACAGTTACCACTCCATTTAATGTCAGACTGGATTAAAAAAGCAGGATTTATCTATATGATATTTTCAAGAGAGAAACTTTAAAGACACTGGTTAAAAGTAAAAGGATGGAAAATGAGATACTATGCAAAACACTAAACATAGCAAAAACTGGTGTATCTGTATAAGTATCAAAGGAGACTTTTAAGACAAGAAATATTATTAGAGACAAATAGGAATATTTTGTAATGATAAAAGCATCTATTTATCAAGAATAAATAATACTCCTAAATATGTATGTACCTAATAACACAGCTTCAAAATACATGCAGCAACAAAAATTGACTAAAAAGAGAAATAGCCAAGTCCACAAATTCATCCGTCAGGGTCTCATGAAGCAAGTAGCCTCTGCCTTCACCACCTCCCCGCCCCCCCAAAAAATCAGGAAGGCTATAGAAGATTTAAACAGCATATCAAATCAACTTGACCCAGTTGGCCTTTCTAAACACTACCCAACAATTGTATAACACAGAGTCTTTTCCAGGTGCATGTGAAATGTTTATCAAGATAGAACATATATAGGGAAGTCTTAATAAATTTAAAATAATTGGAATCATACAGGGTGTATATTCTACACCCATGAATTAAATTAGTAATTGATAACATACAGAAAATCTCCAATTATTTGGCAATTAAGCAATGCACTTACATGGACTTAATCTATGATACTAGAAACCAGAAGCAGTGTTTGCCTCAGAGTAAGTAAGATGTGGCGATTGTTTGGAAAGGGAGATATGGAAACTTTCTGGATTAATGGAAATATTCTGTTTTTTGATTAAGTGACGATTAATTAAATAGATATATACGTTTGTCAAATCCTCAAGCAAAACACTAAGACCCAGGCACATAGACCAATGGAACAGAATAGAGAACCCAGAAATAAAGCCAAATACAGCCAACTGATCTTTGACAAAGCAAACAAAAACATAAAGTGGGAAAAGGACACCCTTCTCAACAAATGGTGCTGGGATAACTAGCAAGCCACATGTAGAAGAATGAAATTGGATCCACATCACTCACCTTATACAAAAATCAACTCAACATATATCAGAGACTTAAATCTAAGACCTAAAATCATAAAAATTCTAGAAGATAACATTGGAAAAACTTCTGGACATTGGCCTAGGCAAAGACTTTATGACCAATAATCCAAAAGTGAATGCAACAAAGATAAATAGATGGAACTTAGTCAAATTAAAAAGTTTCTGCACAGCAAAAGAAATAACAGAGTAAACAGACAACCCAGAGAGTAGGAGAAAATATTCGCAAACTATGCATCTGGCAAAGGACTAATATCCAGAATCTACAAGGAACTCAAACAGATCAGGAAGAAAAAAAAACAAAAACAAAAACAAATAATCCCATCAAAAAGTGGGCTAAGGACATGAATAGACAATTATCAAAAGAAGATAATGATAATAAAATAAATGGTTGGCCGGGCGCGGTGGCTCACACCTGTAATCCCAGCATTTTGGGAGGCCAAGGCAGGTGGATCACGAGGTCAGGAGAGTGAGACCATCCTGGCTAACACAGTGAAACCCCGTCTCTACTAAAAATACAAAAAAATTAGCTGGGCGTGGTGGCAGGTGCCTGTAGTCCCAGCTACTGGGGAGGCTGAGGCAGGAGAATGGCGTGAACCCGGCAGGTGGAGCTTGCAGTGAGCCAAGATCGCGCCACTGCACTCCAGCCTGGACAACAGAGCGAGACTCCATCTCAAAAAGAAAAAAAAAAAAAAGGCCAACAAACATGAAAAAATGCTCAACATCACTAATTATCAGGGAAATGCAAATCAAAACCACAATGCAATAATACCACCTTACTCCTGCAAGAATGGCCATATTAAAAAAAAAAAAAATAGATGTTGATGTGGATATGGTGGAAAGGGAACACTTTTACACTGCTGGTGGGAATGTAAACTAGTACAACCACTATGGAAAACAGAATAGAGATGCCGTAAAGAACTGAAAGTAGATCCACCATTTGATTCAGCAGTCCCACTCCTGGGTATTTACTCAGAGGAAAAGAAGTCATTATATGAAAAAGACACATGCACACACATGTTTATAGCAGCACAATTTGCAATTGCAAAAATGGAACTAGCCCAAATGCCCATCAATCAACAAGCAAATAAAGAAAACGTGGCATATATATACTGTGGAATGCTACTCAGCCATAAAAAGGAACGAAATAATGGCATTCACAGCAATCTAGATGGAGTTGGAAACCATTATGCTAAATGAAGAGACTCAGGAATGAAAAACCAAGCTGGTGGCAAGCACCTGTAATCCCAGCTACTCGGGAGGCTGAGGCAGAGAATTGCTTGAACCTGGGAGGTGAGGTTACAGTGAGCCGAGATCACGCCACTGCACTCCAGCCTGGGTGACAGAGCGAGACTCCGTCTCAAAAAGAAAGAATGATACAGTGGACTTTGGGGCTTCAAGGGGAAGGGTGGGAGGGGTGTGAAGGATAAAAGACTACACATTGGATATAGTGTACACTGCTTGGGTGATGGGTGCACCAAAATCTCAGAAATCACCACTGAAGAAGTTATCCATGTAACCAAACACACCACCTGTTCCCCAAAAACCTGTTGAAATTAAAAAAAAAAGAAAAAACCACTAAGACCAATGCATTTAATTATATATATTATACTCAATTTTAAAATGAAACTGTAAGCTAACTCCTGGTCCTAGGTCCTCAGTCCTCTCAGCCTGACTTAGGTGGACCATGCTGGGGGTTGTTGCATCATCTTGTCTTGTACCAGAAAGCAGGACATTAAATTTTGTCTTTCTCCCTTGCAGCATTAGTGACCAGAAGGATCCCAAGGATCGAATGGTTCAGGTTGTGAAATGGTACCTCTCAGCCTTTCATGCGGGAAGGAAAGGATCAGTTGCCAAAAAGCCATACAATCCCATTTTGGGCGAGATTTTTCAGTGTCATTGGACATTACCAAATGATACTGAAGAGAACACAGTGAGTTCTGCATTGACATTTTTAAATTATCTTAATTGTATACTGATTCAAGATTTTATTTAGGGGCAAATAATAATGATGAAAGCAATGATCAAAAGATGGTCACCACCCATAGAAGAAATTGTTGTTAGAGCAGCATAGTTTGAATGTAGTGAGAAGGAGGAAAAAGAGTAGGATGAGATGAGGATGGGGATGTAGAAATCAGATCTTGCAAGGTCTTGTAGACCATAATATAATTTTATGGCTTTTCAGGATCTCATTTTTGTTTTGAGAAGATCAATAGAATGATTTTGTGAAAAATAAATTGAGAAGGGGCAAATATAGAAGCATGAAGACCATTGTGGAGGTTTTGACATTATTCCAAGAGAGACATGGTGATTCAAGCTTTATTTTGGAGGTAGAACTGATTGATGGATTGGGGGAGGTAAGGGAAAGGAGACATCAGAGATGAATCCTTGCATGTGGATGTAAGCAGTGGCAGTGTCATTTACTGATAAGGAAAAGATTGGATTTGGGGAGGGAAAAATCAAAAGCTAATATAAAATATAAAGTTTTAGAGGTCTGTGAAGCTGTCAAGTAGGGAGATGGAATTTAAGAGTGTGGAGTTTAGGGAGAGGTCTGAGATGGGGATGGGGCTTTCAAAGAGTATAGTGTATTTAGATGACATTTTAAAGCTCTAGGATTGGATAAAATTATTTAGGAAGACAGCATAGCTACAGAAGAGTAGGTAACCCAGAACTGGCTCTGAGGCTCCAACAAATTTAGTGGTTGAAGAAAATGACCAGCAGGGAAGACTCAAATGCATGTAAAAAGGCTTTAAGAAGTAAAAAAAACAAAACCATAGCCCACAGCACCTGACACATAATAATCTGTCAGTAAACATGATTCTCCATATATTTCCCTCTCCAAGTGATGCACTACGTATAGTCCATACTGAAGACAGACAAGTATGTGTCTGTTCTTATTCATTTGGCAGACATTGATAAGTGCCTACTCTTGTCAGCCCTGAATGAGGCACACAATCCTTGCCTTTAAGAATGTCTTAGTCTAGTCAGGGAGACTGACACAAAGCAATTAAAATATTGTAGTTAAGTTCTACAATAGAAATATATATATAGGGTGCTTGGTGTGTGTAGAGCGAGCAGAGACCCCAATTACCAGATTCTCTGAAATGTCATTTGTGTT
Source organism: Homo sapiens (assembly GCF_000001405.40). Classification (NCBI taxonomy): domain Eukaryota; kingdom Metazoa; phylum Chordata; class Mammalia; order Primates; family Hominidae; genus Homo; species Homo sapiens. The sequence continues at coordinate 51,782,521 of NC_000001.11, forward strand.
TTCTCATCAAAAGAAAATTATGTTATATTTGCTTGCAGGAACTAGTTTCAGAAGGACCAGTTCCCTGGGTTTCCAAAAACAGTGTAACATTTGTGGCTGAGCAGGTTTCCCATCATCCACCCAGTAAGTTACAGAGCTCCTCTGCAACCTGTGCTCTCAAAACTATTCTGTCTAAAGAGGGTCATTAAAAGCGCCATAGCTGAGGGTACTGTCAGTTGTGTGACTAGCTGTGTGTTTCTTATTCCCTGAAGTGGAAACTCAAGTTGATTTGTTCCTCATATCTTTTCCTTTTGTAAGCTCCAGACTCTTAGCTTCACAAATTAAGTGCGTATAAAAAGAAGGGATTTAGGAAACCAACTTTTAATGCTTCCAGAGTCATCTTATATATAGTAATTTGTGCTGTAGAGACCTCAGCAACTGTGAGACAGTTTATATAAGTGATACGTAGTTTCTACACAGTATATTCCTGGCATACTGCAGATACCAAAACCGAGGATGCTGAAGTCTCTTACATAAAATGGTGTCTTTTATATTCATATAACCTATGCACACCCTCCTGTATACTTGAGTCATCTCTAGATTACTTATAATACCTAATACAATGTAAATGCTATGTAAATAGTTGTTTCACTATTTATTTGTATTATTTTTATTTTGTATTTTTAAATTTTTTCTTTTGAGACAGGGTCTTGCTCTGTCCCCCAGGGTGGAATGCAGTGGCACAATCATAGCTCACTGCAGCCTCCTGGGCTCACATGATCCTCCCACCTCAGCCTCCCAGTTAGCTGGGACTATGGACATGTGCCACCACACCCAACTAATTTTCTTATTTTTTTTTTTTTTTTTTTAGAGTCAGTGTATCACTATGTTGCCCAGGCTGGTCTCAAATTCCTGGCCCCAAGTGATCCTCCCGTCTTGGCCTCCCAAAGTACTGGGATTGCAGGCGTTAGCCACTGAGCCCAGCCTCTGTATATTTTAGATCCACAGTTGGCTGAATCTGTGGGTACAAAACCCATGGATATGGAGGGTCAACTGTACATACCCTCAACATCTGGTTTGTTTAGTGCAGTATTAAAACTGGAAACACTGGCTGGGCCTAGGTTGGGGCTGGAGCCTGGGTGTACTTGCAGACCAGAACAGATAGCCCTTTTGGTTTTAAGCTTCCTGGGTTGGCCACAGCATCATTTCAGGGATGATCCTGCCCACGTGGCTCTGAATGAATGCTTGCATTGGGGAAAAGGGTATAAAAGGCAGGTAGGTACCTCCTGGCGTAATTGGAGGCTGTTTGAAGGGTAAAGGATTTCCCCATGAAGCCAATTATTTCCCCAGGTTATGTGATTTTGGAGAGGTGGCTGTAGGTATATATAATCTACTAATTGAAAATTTCTATTCAGTTTCAGCCTTTTATGCTGAGTGTTTTAACAAGAAGATACAATTCAATGCTCATATCTGGACCAAATCAAAATTCCTTGGGATGTCAATTGGGGTGCACAACATAGGGCAGGGTAAGTGTGTTGGCATTGGGTGGACTACAATGTTATAGGAGAATTTTATGAAAATGGCTAGACTAGATGTCATTGTTAGCAACTAAGCATTGGTATTGGGGGTGAGAGCAAAGGGTGGGGAACTAGATAGGTTATCCCTAAATTGAATGGAGTATCCTGGAGTAACCATCAGCTCGACAAGAAAGCCTTGTGGCCACTTGGCACTACTCATCAGAGATTCTGTCCCTTCTCTCCACAGGCTGTGTCTCATGTCTAGACTATGATGAACATTACATTCTCACATTCCCCAATGGCTATGGAAGGCAAGTGTGTCCATTTCCTCTGATCAGCAGTAGACTCTGCTGTTCCTTGAGACATGCCCCTTCCCCCTCTTCCTCTTAACTGTCAACCTTACCTAAAAACTTTTGATTTTGCAGGTCTATCCTCACAGTGCCCTGGGTGGAATTAGGAGGAGAATGCAATATTAATTGTTCCAAAACAGGCTATAGTGCAAATATCATCTTCCACACTAAACCCTTCTATGGGGGCAAGAAGCACAGAATTACTGCCGAGATTTTGTAGGTATTTTTTCTGCCTTAGAGCTCTTATGCTTTTCTGAAATAACTGCCTTTTGTCTTGAACTACAGCTTCTGGATTAGGAGTGTGAAAGAATGGTTCTGTCTTTGTAAGCGTGTTTCACATTTTATGTGTCATGTCTTTTGCTGAAGTCCCATATCAGAAGAAGACCTAAAACATATATTCAGAGCAGTCAGAGGTCATTGATAGGTTTCCTTCCTAAAAACCTGACTTGCAATGTTGAACTAAAAGAGGCCTTCCTAGGTTGCCTAGCTAAACCAGATTATGGATCCCTAATTTATTCTTGCCAGATTGAATGATGAGCTGGTCCTTACAGCAGACTTTGTGACCCCTGCAGCACTGCCTCCTGGTCCTCACAGCTATCCCTTTTTCTGTGCCTTTGCTGGGGAAAAACAGTAACCATCACATTTTGCACGCATCTGGCTTGCTTCCACTTGACACTCTTGGGTCACGTGCAGATGACTGTGCCAGTCAGTGGAAAGTCTATAGTGATGGCACCATGACTCTCTCTGCCTCTGGAACCCTTAACTGGGGGGGAAGGGGACAGTGGGAAAGAAAGTTTCAGGCGTTGATAGCAGCTCTCCTCCCTCTGCCCTGGTCATGTCTCCCTTTTCTGGCCTCTTTCAATCCTGTTTATGCCTTGCCCTTCCTAACCAGGCCTTTGCTGTGTTGCTTATCTTCTCACATTCCATAGTTGTGTGTCCAAGTAGAGGTCTGTTACGGCTTTTGCAGAATGGATCCTTGCTCAGGGAAAGTATTCACACCATCTGGCACAGAGGTCCCTTTCAACCTGAGGATGAAAGCCTGCATTATATTCTTAAGCAAAGCCTTCCCTGACCCCCAGTGCCCATGTAAGCTCACCACAGCACTTACCACCTAGAATTTCAATGGTGGTTACGTCTCTCTCCACTACGCTGTGAACAGCTTGAGGATAGGGAATTTGCCAACTCTGTTATGGTCCTTGCACCCAGAATAGGACGTTCTTGCCCAAACCCACCATTCTTGGGATCTCAAGTTCATAAGCGTCCTGTTGAAGGCCCTCATTCTTATAGTTAGCCCTGGGGAGTCCAGTTCTGTTAAGATGCTTTCATCAAAAACTTCACAGTTGCTCTTCTGTGCTCTACTCTGTAGTTGGGCCACACTGAGCAGATTCTTTGGTAGAATTTTCAACTTGAGACTAACACAAGTATTTCCTTTTCTGTTCAGTTCTCCAAATGACAAGAAGTCTTTTTGCTCAATTGAAGGGGAATGGAATGGTGTGATGTATGCAAAATATGCAACAGGGGTAAGATCCTCTATTTTGCCACTTGTTTTAGGCTACATTAGATTGTACTCTATCCCTTTTTCTGGCTTCCTTCATTAGTACTTCCTTCATAATGCATTTCCTTCTACAGTATATTAGAGCTGGAACTTTAGGACAGCTCCAGTGTATGTCATCTCTTCAGGGCAAGCTTTTTCTTTCCTTCCCCCACCTTCTCCCAGCAGTATAGGTAATTATAATCATTTTTACTTTTCTCTCTGCTCTCAAAACACTTGAGAATAATATATGTAAAACAATGCCTGGCACATAGTAAGAACCCAGTAAATGTTAGGTATGTGGCGTATGTTTATAAAATGAAGCACTAAACTGTGTGTTTCCATACACACACAGTTGAAGATTTTGTATAATAAAATTTACTGACTGCCTGGCACCAGAGATACCAAAATGAGTTAAGATAGACCTTTCCTTCAAAGAACTTGCACTCTGTACTACTGCCCACTCAGTGTTCTTAAACAGAGGAAAGATGTTATGAAATTAACAGGAGGAGCCAGTTAACTGCATTTTGGACCTAGAGAATTTGAAGTGTCAAAAGCACTACAATGCATCTAACATTAGGTTAGGGGTTTATGGGTCTAGTTCCCATCCACCTCTATTGTTTTCTAGGAAAATACAGTCTTTGTAGATACCAAGAAGTTGCCTATAATCAAGAAGAAAGTGAGGAAGTTGGAAGATCAGAACGAGTATGAATCCCGCAGGTAAGCCGACATTGTTAAGTGGAACTATTGCTGCAGTGCTTAAACTTTGCCTAGGCGTAGGCACAGGGCTGGGTTTGAGAGACAGTAGGGCAGAGCATAATAGTATAGACCAAGTTTGAATTCCTGGGTTCGTATGTCAGAACTACCACTTACTACCTTTGTGACCATGGATGGCTCAGTCAGCTAACTTCTCTTTACCTTCTTTCCTGAAATGAGAATAAAGGCCTTGAGAGGAAGCCACATCTTAACTAACTTTAAAGCCTCTGTAATTTACTTCTTGACCCTTATTCTCTCCATTCATACTATTTTCTCCATCATATTGTTAAATCCAAGGGAGTTTTTCTGAAATGGAACTTCTCAGTTCCTCTAACACTTACAGGTATATATTAAGGGACACTCAAGCCCTACAGAGGTAAACTGATTGACCCAGAGTTGCACAGTAAGTTAGACATAGAGCCAGAAGTAGAATCCCAGGTCTCAGCTTCCACTATTCTTTTTCTTCTGTTGACCTTATCATACTATCAGGCAGCCCTTATTTCCTTCTTTGACAACTAGCAGTGGAGTCTTCTGAGCCCATATGTCTGTTCCTTACTCCAGTGCCCTGGTGCCAGCGTAAGGAGATTTAGTCTGTGACCTACAGCACTTAAAGCCATTTGACTTGTATTATACTATATTCAGGATGGCTGCAGGCTTTCATTCTCAACATTGGCAGCTCCTCTTACCTCTTTGTTTTAGCCTTTGGAAGGATGTCACTTTCAACTTAAAAATCAGAGACATTGATGCAGCAACTGAAGCAAAGCACAGGCTTGAAGAAAGACAAAGAGCAGAAGCCCGAGAAAGGAAGGAGAAGGAAATTCAGTGGGAGACAAGGGTAAGCTTGCCTGCCCCACCCTCCTAAGTGCTGTTCCTCCTAATTTATTTCAGTGAATGTTGAAGAAGTGATGTGCCAAACACTGTTTATAAACAAGATGATCGCTGGTCCCTACTTGAAACTCATTTCAGTCTAATGGCGGGGTGGGGAGCAGATATGAAATAGTAAGTATATTACAGAAGTACAAAGCAAATATGTAACTAAATTCTTCCTCTTTGTCTTACAGTTATTTCATGAAGATGGAGAATGCTGGGTTTATGATGAACCATTACTGAAACGTCTTGGTGCTGCCAAGCATTAGGTTGGAAGATGCAAAGTTTATACCTGATGATCAGGGCAGTAGGCATAATTCAGCAACAAACAATCTTCCTTTGGGAGAAACCTGTTCATTCCAATCTTCTAATTACAGTGGTTCCTATCTCAGGGATACTGGACTTTCTGACGCAGATGAACAATTAAGGGGAAAAGCTTCCCTTTTCCCTCTGTGGCAGTTACGATTTTGACTTCAGTCCTGAGAAAAACTTCAGGTTTTGAAAATCAGATGATGTCTTCTCCTTTTCCAAACACCACACGTTGAAAGCATTTATAAATCCAAGTCTGAAACTCTGCGCTCTAGTACTGCTGTTAAGATACACAACTTGTTTCTTAGTTCATATAATCTCGGGATACACACACACACACACATATATATACACACACATACGTATACACACACATACATATATATAAATATACCTGATGCCAGATTTTTTTCATAAATATTCTGCCTACTGTAAATATGGGTTCCTCTGAGTTGTTTTAGAAAATTAGCGCAATGTATTAAAATCAAGTGTTAGGAAATTTCATGGTCTTACCTACAATAACTTTTATTTTGGAATTGAACTATTATTAAATTGTATCTAATCCTGGATTACAGTTTAATTAATTATTCTTAGTGCTTAAGGCTTCATAAAGTAATTTTTCCAACCTTTTTTTTAAAAATGTGCATCTTTTATTATCTTTTATGGTTAAACTTGGAAGCCAATTATTTGGCAACCTTGAATACAAGAGCTAGCTTTTCAAAGAAAGACACTTGAAATAATGGAGGATCCATTCTTTTCCTCTGTCAGATTGTATGTTCTGTCTTTAGCCCCTGCCAGGCAATTCCCCAGAATCTTCACTTAACTCATATTGCACATGTAGGGCTGCCTACCAACATTTTATCCAAAAATGTTTTATTGCCTTAGAGGGTTTGGGAAGAGTGTGTATTTATAGATCCCCACCCCACAGTGAACAAAAATAGATAGATAGATAGAATAAAATGAATGCCACAGCAGCAGATGGCTCATTCTGAAGGGAAATACAGAACTATATCTATCTATCTATCTATCATCTTTTTTATTTAAAAATACATTAAAAAAACAGGTATTAGTACCTAGCATTTAGTTAGTTATTCAATATACTGGTTACGTAAGGCCTTTCAAGAAGTAGATTCTCAGTCTGAGAGGACACAGGCCAGGGCTTCTCAAAGTGCTGCTGCAGGCTTTCTGGTCTCGCTTGGCCCATTCTGCTAATTTTCCTTTGCCAGCTCCTACAGTAACCCTGGGTTTATTAGTCTCAACAAAGGATAAAAAGTAAATCAAATGCTATGATGCCAGTGCAAAACTTCAATGGAAGCCCTAAGGCAGTAGTATAACTAACTCCATAAAATACAAACAAACACATTTTAAAATACACATTGCTTCAGGCCAACGTGACTGCAGTTTATTTATTTGACTATTTTATGGTAGGGGAGAAGGTTGAGTGTTGTTGTGAAAGCCCTGATATCAGTAATGGGGATGATACAATCTGCCAGCAGAGGAGAGGTTGGCAGGTAGGTCAGCTGCATCACTTCACAAGAAGAATTTGAATCCTCACTAGAAGGGGTACCATCCTCTTCCAGTTCATACTTCCCATATCCAACAACCTGAAAGAGGACAAAGACAAAAGTGAAAAATATGCTGACCAGATTTAGGGGTTTAAGAGTTCTGATGATAACCACCCAAACTCACTCAGTAAATGACAACCCTAGAATGGATGGAGTTAGTTAAACATACTCACATGAACGCTGAGCATTTTACTTCCTGGCCCTCTATGGGCCTTGAACCAGTTGACCAGGTCTGATTTTGAGAATGACTTCAGTGCTTCAATCTTACAAGGGAAGGGAAGATAGGAAAGAAATTCAAGAAGAAAGATAGCTCTTAAACCTAACCCCCAGGCAGATGTCCCTGGACCTGCTTAGCATCTGAAGACCTCATTTTATTCTTCCTATTCTCAGGTTACCCCTAACCTTCCAGACCAAAACGATGATGAAGCTCTCTGGCATGCCTTCACATTTTATACCAATCATCTACAATGGCAAGAGAGGTTAGCAGATGCTATAATTACAGCTAAATACCATACACTGAGCCCAACACCCACATCCCCTTAGTGTCACCTCCCAATTACATGGTAGCTGCATACCACGGCTTGAGGAAATCTACCTTGCTTCTATTAAGAAAACTAAAATGTGTTAAGATGAAGCCTCTTACTAAATAACCTCTTTACATCACAGAGCAATGATGTCCTATGGTAATTCACCATGTAGGGGCTATGTATTAACCAAAGTCACACTGGAGTACAAGATCCAGATCTTTTTCATAGGTTTTACTACTTTGGAATAGAAGTTGTCAAAACACATGCACTTGGAATAATGAACTCCGTAAAGACAAAGAGTCCTCAATTTTCTTTAAACGGCAAAACTCTTTTTCTCCACAAAATCTTGTAGACCTCAATATATAGCATAAAAATAGAGCTGCTCTGATTGAAATTGGTGGTGGTGTGGTAAGGATTAGCACCCAGCTCACGTGGCCACCTAAGGTGCTAGAGAGGCCAGTCTGAAAACTCAGGAAGTGAGCGAGTAATCAGGCCAGGACTAGTGTTTCGAGTTTCTCTTCCACACAATGCTGGTGTGCACAGACCTGTGATGCCTGTAGAATCAGGAACCTTGACCAGTTTGAGCTGTCTTACTCTGAAAACCATGTTACCTCGTGGGCAAGGCGGTCAAAGAGGTACTGCTGTGTAACCACTTCATTCCAGTTCCTATCCACCTCCTCCCCAAGGTGGGTATCCTCACACTCCTTCAGCTTGATGAGAGCTGTGACCTGTTCCCACCAAAAAGAAAGATGCTCAGGTGAGGCAACATACCACTTCCCACAGAACACACTGGGCCCTGTCCAGCCCGGCTTGTGATGGACATGCCAGTATAAGAGGCACGGATGAAGCTAGGGAGACACTATTGTAAGAGGAAGGTGGGGCTGCAAAGCTCAAAAACTGGCCGGCGAAGCCCTGTTAAGATTTGTATCTGGGGGCTTGTGTGGGCCAAAGGCCAAAAGACCAGGCTGGCACAGTCACCTGGGTGTTGAATGCCTCTTCAGTGAGGTTCTCAATCTTCTCCTCAAAGCTAGAAAGAAACTCTTCTATCTTCTTATCAACAACTTCAGAACTGAAACAAAACATCTTCAATCAGAACTAAAACAAAACATCTTCAATTAAGTCATCAGAAACCCGATCTCAGGCAGAAGGCAAAAGAAGGAATTAAGACTAAGACATATATCCAGGAAAAAAAGCTAAAGTGTTTTCCCAGGCCTCAGTATTCCACCTGACTTTGAGGACAGAAAGAGAAAGAACCCTCCCCCTCACCCCACCTCCAGCCCAGTTTCCTGGTATCCTCATAATGAAGCAGTCACAACCATGTATGACCATTCCAAAGCTGAAAACTAACAGGTTTCAGCAATGCCTGTCAGATCAGGCATCCTTTCCCTTCTTGTCCTCAGGTCTGCCTGAAGAGAAGAAACACTGGCAAGCCCCACACAATGACCACAGGACTTGAATCAAGTCTGAAAGGGCCACTGGAACTATTGATCAGTCCTGGAACAGACCATCTATAACAACCCCCATCTTCCCAGCTTCCACTGACTAAATAGAGCAAACCTGCTTGGTCAGGGTTGCCCAAGGTTTAAGGAAACACATGTAGCCCCTACTCTCCATGTCCATAATAGGTTACACTCATCTATTCACTCACTCACTCACTTGTATTTGGTTGCCTGAGTCCCCACAGTGACAGAAAATCCTAGAATCCCGGATGTGTTCCTACAGGTAGGGTAGACATGGTACCTACAAGCCAGAGAGAAAAGTTATATGAGCTCAGGTGATCATCTGGGCCCTGGCCTTGGAGGCACTAGATAGGAGTGGGAAAAGTTTCTGCCCATCCTTATTGGAACTGGAAGTCCTGAAACAGGACCCAAAAATGTTAAGGTGTCCATACCTCTCCTGAATTGGGGACCACAAACTAGCCTTTTTTCTTATCTTGAAACTTGACCAAACTGAAAACCTGATTACAGTCAAAGATACAAATTCCAAAAGTTTGGATGACTAAATATCACCCTATGAGATGGAAGGAAGCTCTAACAGGCTGCTCAGTAGGGATATCTGATGAACAGCCTGCAAAGTAAGCCCTAGGCCCTTATTTGAGCTCAGTGGCCCTGCCAGCTGACTTACCCAAGGGTCTGCTTGGTTCGAAGGAAGTCAAAACAAGGTTCTTCCATGTGCATCTGTAATTCAACATACTGCCCATCAGCCCAACTCCTCCCAGCAGAGAAACCTCCATTTCTCTCCCCAGAGTGTTTCACATACCTCCCAAGTCCAGCCTCCCTTAGTGCCTTTTTCCTAATTGGCCCAGGCTTATACTGGGTGAGAACAGTAAATGACCATCTCACCTTCAAATCACAGATCTCTGACTACCCCATGTCCCTAACCCAGGCAGAAAAGGCCGGGCCTCATAGTGGGTCAGGGGCTGCTGAAAACCTCAGCATCTCCTTTATGCACTTACCACAAGCAGCTCCATAAGCGTATATTCTCTTAGACTCCTGGTACCTGACTGAAAAGAGAAGGTTGTCAGGCCAACTGAATATCCAGTGGTTTACAGGGCTTTTAAATAATCCAGCTATTCTAGGCAACCACTTAGGTATCACCACCAATCGCTCTCCCCCAAGAGAGTTAATCATACTTTGATGTTGTTTACATATCTGCTTTCCCACCAGACTGAAGGTCTATGAGGACAGGAGTCATGCTTGACCATTTGTACTCCCGGCACTAGCATAGAATTGCAGGTGCAAACAAAGGTGAGATTAATAATCCCTGACCTGCCAGATCCTGTCAGAGGACACATTCTAAAATTAAGTACTTGCAACTCAAAGCCCTAAGGAAGACAGCAGGAAATGTTTGGGGATCCTGAAATGTATCTGGATCTATTCCTCAAGAGGAGAGAAAATGAATAGTGCCACACAACAAGAACCAGTGCCACATAAAAGGACCAAAACCAGTTGATAAGAAAAATACTTCAGAGAAAGAAGCCACGCTTTGGGACCACATGCTAGCTGCCCAAGACTGGCAAAATAATGCATTCAGAATGAAAGGACAGGAGGCCAATAAACAAGGATGTTGCTAGTGCCTCCCAGAGTCAGGATCTTGCAGGTTCCTCTCACACAGACTCATTTGCTTCCCACTCACCAGAGGAAGAGGCTAATGCCTATGTGCCCTTGCAAGACCTGATTAGTCAGCATTGAGATTTTCTGTTTCCCTCTAAACAGACCACAACAAAACCAATGCTCTCTGAGAAAGGATATGGTTTCCAAAAGGGAACAGTTTGTATTAGAAGCTAGTGCTAAGAGGTGACTGATGGAAAGCATTTCTATAAACATAGTCTTACAATGTGAAATCCTGCCGAAAATGAGTACTCCTGTACCGGGGTTGTAAGCAGTCAGAGGCACTGAAAATGTAGACTAGGTTAAGAAAGGCTAGGCTGTACCATTTGTGGAGTTTGGGACCTGGTAGTCATAACCTAGAAGAGGCTGCAGGTTGGAATGCTACAGCCACAGAGGCTCCAGAGAGAAGCAGGGCCTCTACGGAAGGACAAAAATATTATCAACCTAGCTCCAAAAGTGCTGTTGCTCCTGAATCAAAGTACTCATTAAGAAGACTAGGACAAGACACAACTTCACTAACAAGAGATGACCGTGACATCGGGCAAGTGAATTTGCTCCTGACAGCCAGACCAGGATAATGTCAGAATAAGGCTGAGGCCCAGGGGCAGAGATACAAGACAAAGAAATGATAATCAGTCCATCCCACCCAAAGCCCAGTCAGGGATCTTCACAAGACCTGACAAAGAAGTGAATTCCTGATGCAGGGAACCCAAGATAACAGCAGCGGCTACAGGAGCCCCAGAATTTGGGGAGTCAGTAATCAGACTAGACAGGCAAGGTTTAAGGAAGATCCCCGTGGTTCTAGAAGCGAGTGGGACCAACCACAGGTTAAAGCAGGCTATAGGCTAGAGCTAACTGTGATTACTGCCACGTGCTTCCTTCCTTTAAGCACCACACACCCCAGTAGAATGGTGTGGAAAGAACACAGAATCTGAAGACAAAAGGAATAATCTGAGACCCAGCTGGTACGACCTCAAGAAGTAAGGGGCTCTGGATCATGGAGTTGTCACCCTAAAACAGAGGTGATAAATCCTTCCTCTCAGGTGCTTTAAACATTTATGACTCTAGTAGTCGTTCTCTTTGCTGTGTCTTAATTGTTTGGCTATGTTTACTTCTGTCTTCTTTTCAAAACTGCCCCTTAACAAATGTCCTTCTGCTACTTGGGAGTTCTATCAGGGGCACATGTAGGGATTTCCACCCACACCTCGGTTTCTGGCCCTCTAGATTAGTACTTAGGTGATTAATGAAGCAATACCTCACTGTGATTGAAAAAGGATCCATTTTACCAACAGGAGCAATTTTTAAATGTAGTTGCTTCAAGAGGACAAATGGCCCCAAGCATGAAACTACAGAAGTAACTATAAAAGGGCCTTGAAGGTCACGGGGTCCCTGATCCCCAGGCACTGGGCCTTCCGCCAGTCTTTAGTACACCCAACTGACCTGGTAGTACACAGTGACTTCAGAGTTGGCATCACCCTTGTTCAGAGCTTTCACTTTGCATAGATGGTGGCCACTGGGCAGCTCTACCACCTGGAACTGCACAGGCATCTCCTGCTCCAGAGGCTTGAAGTTTAGTTTGCTGCAAGAGAATCAGTATGGGTCACTGAGGCACCCAAAAACTATAAGAAGCTAGGCCTTCTAACTTTTCAATTGCCTTGTACACCAGCCTCAAAAAAATCTACTACAAGTAGTATTTCAATTGGGTGTTTAGTAACAATTAACTGAATTGTGGCTCCATGCCCTCTCGCTGGTAAGAACACATAACCCCAAAGAGAAAATTCAAATACTTACTCAACAACATATTTCAGGAAATCCATAGATTCCTAAGAGGCAAAAGAGAATAACTACATTAAGCTCTCTAGACATTCATTTCACCCAGAATCAGCTAATATCAATGTTCCAATTGCTTGGGGAGCCCTGCATAGCTTTAGGAAAGCAGATATAGTTGGTGACCTAAATGCTGGCAAGTTATTCATTGACTGATTCAAGATTGATTGTGTTTGTGGAACACTAAGCAGCTCTTAACTGTTCTGGCTCTCTTGGCAATCTGTTTACCCATAATACAGTTTCCCAACTGGATCAAACTTAATTGTTCAGTGTTGGTTTACCCAACTAGGCTGTGGCCTTTATGACAACATGGACTATGTTTCAGAATCCTGGGCCCATTGACATAGAACCTGGATAAAGCAAAGAAAATAACATTTAATACTGAGTGAATACATCCTCTTCCCTTCTTAAGAATTCTGTTTTCTTATCTATAAAATAAGGGATAAATGGAGGGATTAGCTCTTCTCTAAAGTGATTTCTACTGGAGGAAATTCATGGTACTAAGGACTCTGTATCAAAAGCCCTTGCCTGGTACTTCAACGGTGCTCGGAAAAACAGGCAGCCTATTTCTTCTCTTCCCTTTGTGGACTGAGACTTAAGATTCTTTTGGTGGCCAAGACAGAAACTAAGGCTGGTTCTGGGGTTGCAGAATGAAGATAGAGAGAAAGGGGAGGATAGCAGCCACAATTTCAAGAGTGGCCATTTATATATTCCAATCAAAGGGCCAGCCCTGAGAAACTGGGAAGGCATGGAGGAGGATGGTTAATAACAAAACAGTTCAGGGAGAGAATCTTGAACAAGCATCTGACTGAGGAAAAGGCCTTAGTCAGGTACAAGGCCCCACAGACATTTCCAACTAAATACGTATCAGAACAAACTCCTCATATGCTCCCACTCTTACTACTGTTCCTGTTCCACCAACCCACTGCTTCAAGAAAGAAATCTGGGCATCATTCTAGACTGCCTTCTCTCTCACTCCCACTGAGTGAATTTCCATCATCTTCTATTTCTTAAGCACTTCTTTAAACAAACAAAAAAAAACACCAGGGTCTTGCTTTATTGCCCAGGCTGGAGGGCAGTGGCATGACCTCAGCTCACTGCAGCCTCCACTTCCTGGGCTCAAGCAATCCTCCCACCTCAGCCCCCAAGTAGCTGAGATTACAGGTGTGCATTGCTACACCCAGCTAATTTTTTTTAATTTTTTTGGAAGTGGTGTCTCACTATGTTGCCCAGGCTGGTCTCAAACTACTGAGCTCAAGCGATTCTGCCACCTTAGCCTCCCAAAGTACTGGGATGACAGGCATAAGCCACCATGTCCAGCCTTAAGCAATTATTTTTCATTTATTTGGCCTAACATCAGGCTTCAATATTTTTCACTCCCAACTCTTTTTTTTTTTTGAGACAGACTCTCACTCTGTCACCCAGGCTGGAGTGCAGTGGCGTGATCTCGGCTCACTGCAACCTCTGCCTCCCAGGCTCAAGTGATTCTTCTGCCTCAGCCTCCCAAGAAGCTGGGATTACAAGATGCCCACCACCACACCTGGCTAAGTTTTGCATTTTTAATAGAGACAGGTTTTCACCATGTTGGCCAGGCTGGTCTTGAATCCCTGGCCTCAAGCAATCTGCCTGCCTCAGCCTCCCAAAGTGCTGGGATTACAGGCGTGGGCCGCCTTGCACAGCCTTCACTCCAGCTTTTTATTTTGATAAAATAATATAAAGTTTATAATCTCAACTTTTTTTTTTTTTAGACGAGGAGTCTCACTCTGTCGCCCAGGCTGGAGTGCAGTGGCACAGTCTCAGTTTAGTGCAACCTCCGCCTCCCGGATTCAAGCAATTCTCCTGCCTCAGCCTCCCGAGTAGCTGGAACTACAGGCATGTGCCACCAAGCCCGGCTAATTTTTGTATTTTTAGCAGAGACGGGGTTTCACCATGTTGGCCAGGTTGGTCTCGATCTCTTGACCTTGTGATCCGCCCACCTCGGCCTCCCAAAGTGCTGGGATTACAGGCGTGAGCCACCGCGCCTGGCCAATCTCAACCATTTTTAAAAGTGTGCAGTTCAGGGCCAGGCACGGTGGCTCACACCTGTAATCCCAGCACTTTGGGAGGCCGAGGTGGGCAGATCACGAGGTCAGGAGATCGAGACCATCCTGGCCAACACGGTGAAATCCCATCTCTGCTAAAAATACAAAAAATTAGCTGGGTGAGGTGGCAGGTGCCTGTAGTCCCAGCTACTTGGGAGGCTGAGGCAGGAGAATGGCGTGAACCGAAGAGGTGGAGGTTGCAGTTGGGCCAAGATCACGCCACTGGACTCCAGCCTGGGTGACAGAGCGAGACTCTGTCTCAGAAAAAAAAGGGGTACAGTTCAATAATGTTAACTATATTCACACTGTTGTGCAGTAGATTAGATTTTCAGAACTTTTTCATCTTGCAAAACCAAAATTCTGTACCCATAAAATAACTTGTCTCTTCCCTCTTCTCCCCAACTACTGGAAACCACCATTATATTTTCTGCTTCTATGAATTTGACTACTTTAGATAACTCCTATGAGTGGAATCATATCTGTACTTTAAAACAGCTTCATAACTTGTCTCTCTGGATATTTCTTAACCACAAATCTTCTTAAATCCTTTAATGGTTCTCCATTTCTACAGGATAAAGCCCAGCACCTTAGCTTCACAAACAGGCTTGACATACTAGTTCTGGCTATGTATGTATGTATCTATGTATGTATCCGTATGTATGCACACACATCCCTCACCATTTCCTTCCTCCCATTTTAGCCTCTATACTAAACTGTTCATGGTTTCCACATACAATCTTCAACAAAGGTAACAAACAGTATAGATACGCCAAACCCATTTCACTCAAAATCCTAGTCTATTACCAGCAATCTATTTTTCTCTCTCTCTTTCTTTATTTCTTTTCTTTTGAGACAGGGTCTTACTCTGTTGCCCAGGCTGGAATACTGTGGTGCAATCATAGCATGCTGTAGCCCCAAACTCCTGGGCTCAAATGATCCTTCCACCTCAGCCTCCCAAGTAGCGGAGACTATAGGCATGTGCCACCATGCCTGGCTAATTTTTTATTTTTTGTAGGGATGAGTTCTCACTGTGTTGCCTGGACTGGTCTCGAAATCCTGACCTTAAGTAATGCTTCTGCCTTGGCCTCCCAAAATGCTGAAATTACAGGCGTGAGCCATCATTCCCAGCCCAGCAGTCTTCATCTTAAGAAGAAAGCTGCCCAGCATCAGAGGGGTCAGGTTCCCTTCTAAACAGAATATGATAATGCTGGCCTGCCAAAACTACAGCTTCCCCTTTAGGAAAGAACTATGGCAATTCCAGAGTTCACAACTGCATTCAGACCTGGCCTACAGAGCATCTCACACTCACTGTGCTTGTGACATTCCCTTGTACCAGGCCCTCCACAAAGAGCTGGGATTTGAATTCTTTGACGAAGCTCAGCAGAGACTCAAGGGAAAGGCCGTCCATCAAAGCCTGGTACTTGTCAATCATAGACCAACGGGCATATTCCAAGATTAAAAGCCGTACATCTCTGTACAGAGGGCAGAAAAAAAACACTCAAAGTTTTGTTATTAGAAATGAATCTTCAGAATAAAGAAATGTTTGGTCAAAGTTCTATAAAGGATGTGTTTCTAAAGAGAGACCATTTTTATCACAATGTAAGATGGGAAAACAGTATCAGATTAACCAAAAAAGTACTGAAAACCACATACACAAACTTTAAACAAATTTACTTAGCAGTACAAAAATGCACTTACCTGTCTCAGTTGCAGGGTAAAATATTTCACATAAAAGTAAAGCTGCCAGATGAGTCAAGTTTACTTAGTTGTACACTGATTTAAAATTATTACTATTTTGGTTTGAAATCTCACTAATATTTCATTAATTACTAGAAGCCATCATTTGGGATATCTATTACTGCAGTGACAATATAATACAGGTAACGGCTCTGGTCCAGAATCAGATTAACTTCATCCCCCATTTCCACAACCCCACCCCAAATAAGCTGTTTGAATTTGACAAATCTACTAACATCTATGATTCAATTTCTTCATTTGTAAAACAGGGGAAGTATTCGTGAGAGGTAACCGTTTTGGATAGAATTGAATTAATGAATTTATATAACAGTTCTTAGATCTAGCACAAAAATCTTCAACAAACAGGTTTATTATTATTCTTTTATAAAGTAAATTTCAGGAGTTGAATTTTAATAAAATAGAAGGTTGTGTTTAATAATGTATTTTTATAAATAAATAAAGTAGTATTCATGAGTTATTGGCAGGGCTATTCACCGTATCAATGGTTGCAGATAACTCTCCTTTTTTTATTATTATACTTTAAATTCTAGGGTACATGTGCACAATGTGCAGGTTTGTTACATAGGTATACATGTACCATGTTAGTTTTGCTGCACCCATCAATTCGTCATTTACATTAGGTATTTCTCCTAACACTATCCCTCCCCCAGCACCCCCACCCCCCAACAGGCCCTGGTGTGTGATGTTCCCTCCCTGTGTCCATGTCCTTTCTAACATATATCTAGTTATTAGTTTTTGTAACTTTCTGTGATCAGAATATCAGTTATTACATGACTGATTCCTAACCCCTTCTTTCTAATTCTGGAAACTGATGGGTTCATTACAGCTGTGTCAAAAGCAGAACCTTTACGCTGTTCACTATTTATAGATGCCCAGGGCAAAACTGTCAAGTAGGGGCTAGCCAGTCATGTGCACAAAGGGGTAGGTCTGTTCAGAGGACTTTTCTCTCCCTCCCACAAAGGCTCTACCTGCTAATAGAGGGTACCTCAGAAGGATACTTTTTTCTGATTCACGCAAAAGTATCCTACAGGCTACAATTAGCCCTGGACTAAAGTAGTAAGAACAGGCTCTGAATGAAGGCCCAAGGGGGTTGCCTGTGAGCAGAGGGTTTAAGTATTAGCATACAGACTGTGTAGCTGCCTTTCTGCTCTCTTCTGGAAGCTTGGCTGAATTCTGGATAGTTAAGATTGCTAGATAAGTGACATGTTTAGCAATTTAACTCAGCTACTAATCACCAACATACTAAAATCACCAGTAAATACTTCTTCTGGTTTGTTTTTTGTTTGTTTTTCTATGAGACAGGGTCTATCTCTGTCATGCAGGTTGGTGTGCGGTGGCATGATCATGGTTCACTGCAGCCTCAACCTCCTGGGCTCAAGCAATCCTCCCACCTCAGTCTGCCAAGTAGCTGGGACTACAGGCATGTGCCACCACACCCAGCTAATTTTTTAATTTTTTGTAGAGATGAAGTCTTGCTATATTGCCCAGGCTAGTCTTGAACTTCTAGGCTTGTGATCCTCCCACCTCAGCTTCTCAAAGTGCTGGGATTACAGATATAAGCTACCATGCCCGGCCTAAAACTAGCACTTCTTTAACATTCAGGTATAATGATTGGTGAAAACACCCTTCCTTACTTTTAGTCTCTACAGTAAGCTGCTTTCAGTCCCATTCACAGCTAGCTACATAAGCTGGGTTTAGAAATACCGTAACGCTATGCACGGGTCTCCTAAACTAGAGCACGATTCAAACACGGATGAAAATTAGCACTGCAACTATAGCCTTAACCCCCACACCCACCCACTAGGGAGAGTAATACTTTCAGGTCCTCAAAATATAAGCTCATCTCATTTATACCCACTTGGCCAAAGTCTCGGGCTTGATGAGGATGTTAAAGTAGGTCTTCTTCAACTGCTCAGTTATCATTGTAAAGACAGCTGGTGTGGAATTGAACTCAGCTAAGTAGTCAATAATGAGCTGAAACAGTAGCTAAAAGAAAAAGAAGGAAGCATTTTAAGAAGCATGGAAATCCACTAGGTATTAGGGAGGGAAATGTTTCTCTTTGGTTTTTACCAGGTACCCAGCATGGAACTAGGCATTGTGGGGGGACATAAGAAAATTACTAACAACTCAATTTGTTCGTTTGTTTGTTTGGGTGTTACCTGGAGACAGGATATCACTGGTCACCCAGGCTGGAGTGCAGTGGTACTATCGACTGTAATTCATTATAACCTCGAATGCCTAGGCTCTAGCCATACTCCCACCTCAGCCTCCTGAGTAGCTGGGACTACAGACAGGGGCCACCATGCCCGGCTAATTTTTTTGCTTTTGTACAGACAAGGTCTTCTTATGTTGCCAGGCTGGTCTCAAACTCGTGGCCTCAAGTGATCCTCCTGCCTCAGCCTCCTAGCCTCAAAGAATCTTAAGGGTCCAAAATTCTAAATAATTGTCAAATTTGGAACAATTCTTCCTTTTTTATCATTTCATGGGTGTTCTCAATAAGATTTGTAGTTTGTCTTCAGATAGATCCTATACTTTTCCTGTTTATTCTTAGCCATTTTATTGGCTTTTTTTTCTCAATATTGTAAATAAATGTAAGATTGTTTCCATCCATTTGTTTCTTTCTTTTTTTAAGAGACAGAGCCTCGCTATATCGCACAGGCTAGTGACACGATCATAGCTAAGTATCCTCAAACTCAAGTATTTCTCCTGCCTCATACTCCGGAGGAGTTGGGACCACCGGCACATCCCACTGTGCCTGGCTTCCATTTCTAAGTGATTACTGGTACTATGGGGGAGAAAAAGCCATTGATTCTGATATACTAGTCTTTTGACCAGCCATATCACACCTAATTTTTTTTTTAATTTTAGTGGTATATGAGGTTTTCTAAGAATACAATCATATCATCTGCAAGGAAAAATATTTTTTCCAAAAAAGTTTTTATTTTTTCATCTTACTCTAATAGCCAGAACCTCTAAAACAATAACAGAATAATAGAGATGATTGTGGATTATTCTTGGCTTGTTGCTGATGTCAGTGTTCATCATTTTATCAGTTAATGTAATGTCCGCTGATAGTTCTTTACTTGAGGTTTTTTGATTTTTTTTTTGAGATGGAGTCTTCGCTCTATTGCCCAGGCTGGAATGCAGTGGCGCGATCTCGGCTCACTTCAAGCTCCGCCTCCCAGGGTCACACCATTCTCCTGCCTCAGCCTCCCGAGTAGCTGAGACTACAGGCGCCTGCCACCACGCCTGGCAAATTTTTTGTATCTTTAGTAGAGACGGGGTTTCACTGTGTTAGCCAGGATGATCTCGATCTCCTGACCTCGTGATCCGCCCGCCTCAGCCTCTCAAAGCACTGGGATTACAGGCGTGAGCCACCGCGCCAGGCTGAGGTTTTTATACTTAATTAATTTCCTTCCATTCCTATGTATTAGGAATGCCAACTCAAATTTATCAAATGATTTATCAGCATTTATCACTATATTCATACAGTGGCTCTCCTTTGACTTGTGTTGTGGTGACTTATGATCATCAATTTCCTAATATTCCACAACCCTAGCATTCCTGGTACTTGAATTATTCTTTTTGCTAAACTGGATTTAATTTTTAGAAAGTTTACATCTATATTCTACAGATAAAATTGATCTCTAGTTTTCTATACATACATACATACATATATATATGTTATATATTAGGTTTTAATATTAAGGCTAAGTCTCACAAATTCAAGAATATCAAATACTTTTCCATGGTTTGTATTTTTAATAAGCTCTCCAGGTAATTCTAAAACATATTTTCCAAATGACAACCACTGAATTAGGCTTTAATCTGCTTGAAACTTAAGCTACATTATATTTAGGCCTCAGAGGCTGACAAAGTAAAATTATTCTTGGCTTGTTGCTGATGTCAGTGATCATCATTTTATCAGTTAATGTAATGTCCGCTGATAGTTCTTTACTGATGGCGTCTCCTTCTGAGACCAATCTTTGTTCCATGGGGAGATGGAGAAGGGAAAAGGCATAAAAAGGTGAGAGCTATACTCTTCTCTTGGGTTTTTGCCCAGATGAAGGCTATTAACACCTAGCACAGGTCTTTCTGGCAGGTCCTTTCCTCTAAAATTTTTCTTGTATAACCCTATTTCCCTAAATCTTAATATAATATATATTCTACCCAAGAAACCTAGATATAAAATTTATTATTGAGTATATTATATTGCTTTACCTGGTATTCAGTAATCTAACTCTCTTAGCTAACAACCCATTATTTTTTCCTCCTCTTATGAAGTTTTTGATGAAGCAATACTGGAACATATTTCTCACTAAGAGATTAATAACTGACATGATACAGACCCTGCTTCGGAAAGGTTCATAAACTTAGAAGGGAAACAAGACACACATACTTGAAACAATGAGGAGCATAAGATGAGGAAGTAAGGGCACAAGCATTTGAGTTCTACTCTATTTCAGGCAAAACACCAGTCAAATTTGTTATTCCACAGCCGGCATGGTGGCTCACGCCTATAATCCCAGCACTTTCAGAGGCTGAGGCAGGCAGATCACTTGAGGTCAGGAGTTCGAGATCAGCCTGGCCAACACGGAGAAACCCCATCTCTACTAAAAATACAAAAATTAGCTGGGTGTGGTGGTGCGTGCCTGTAGTCCCAGCTACTCAGCAGGCTGAGGCATGAGAACTGATTGAACCCGGGAGGCGGAGGTTGCAGTGAACCAAGATCACACCACTGCATTCCAGTCTGGGTGATGGAGTGAGTATCTGTCTCAAAAAAAAAAAAAAAAAAGGTTATTCCTGTATGGTAAAAAATTTAGCTAGAACCAATCCTAAATGCCAGTGTTGGTTGTGGAGAAACTGACAGCAAAGGGAAGTGAAATCAATCCTAAAGCATGGGCTATAATCCCATGCACTGCCAGTAATTAATGAAACATATGTTGTTCTTATGGATAGTCAGTCACAGTTAGAATAGCTGTCATCAGCCAAGAATATTCAAGATAATCCACATTAATAAACATTTATTTCTCTATACAGCATCCCATGCACAAACCTCTAAATAAATATGGTATTTTAATGCTCTCTATAAGGAAAACAGAGTACTTGTACTTACAGGTAGTTTGTGGTTAAATCCTTTCACTCGAATAATTAAACCATGTTCTCCAGCTACCAGTTTATACTCCAGCTGTGCCACATCTGCTTCATAAGCTGGTTCCGCAAGGTTATGCGTAAGGATATTGACAAAGATATCAAAGAGGACCACACTAAGAAGTACAAAATGCAAATGGCATCTTTAATTGGTAAGAAAGACACATGAAATAGATTTGCTTCAATTTAGAGTAAGCAGCTTCATTTTTAGAAAGTATAAATTCTCTACTCCAGAATGTAAAAGGTAATACAGCTTACTCAGGATTCAGTTTCAGAGGTGTATTACAGAATTCCTACCTTCAGCAGTGTTTCCCAATCTTTTTCATGTCATGTACACATGCAAAATGATAATATTTATATTGTACAATGAGGTAAATGGAATAGGCATCAGCAGCACTGGCCTGAAGGCTCTGTCTACCCTCCAAGTCTAGGCATTCTGACTAATTAAAAATATGAGTTTGGGAATGCATTTTTTAGAGTGAATATTAACAAATTCTAGTGCTGCTTGTCATTTTAAGTTTGGATTTTACAGTTACGTAGGAAAAGAAAGAAGAAATGCACCAACATTTCCCAAGTATCTCCTACGTTCAGACACATTTCCCAAGTATCTCCTAGGTTCAGACACATTTCCCAAGTATCCGCTACGTTCAGACACATTTCCCAAGTATCTCCTACGTTCAGATACATTTCCCAAGTATCTCCTACGTTCAGACACATTTCCCAAGTATCTGCTATGTTCAGACACATTTCCCAAGTATCTCCTAGGTTCAGACACATTTCCCAAGTATCTGCTACGTTCAGACACATTTCCCAAGTATCTCCTACGTTCAGATACATTTCCCAAATATCTCCTATGTTCAGATACATTTCCCAAGTATCTCCTAGGTTCAGACACATTTCCCAAGTATCTCCTAAGTTCAGATACATTTCCCAAGTATCTGCTACATTCAGACACATTTCCCAAGTATCTCCTAGGTTCAGACACATTTCCCAAGTATCTCCTACGTTCAGACACATTTCCCAAGTATCTCCTATGTTCAGACACATTTCCCAAGTATCTCCTAGGTTCAGACACATTTCCGAAGTATCAACTACGTTCAGACACATTTCCCAAGTATCTCCTATATTCAGACACATTTCCGAAATATCAACTACATTCAGACACATTTCCCAAGTATCTCCTATATTCAGACACATTTCCCAAATATCTCCTATGTTCAGATACACTTTAGGGTCTCCGACCACCCACAATGAAAGCTATCTACATAAATATATAAGGGATTTGCTAAGAACAGGAACAATCACATTCCTTGGTAGTCTATAAATACAGAATCAACAGATCCATCAGTCTCATTATAGACTGGGCACTCACCCAAACTGATCTTTAAGGACTTTTCCCCATCCAGTAACTGGGAACTAATTGCTCTAGTCTACACTATCAGCATGTTTTACCAATGGGTGCTGGTAATGGAGCAGCCACAGTTCCATTTTAATGTTTGGTAATAATACAAATAACTTGTTTGGAGTACAGAAAAAAATACATAAATCAGCAACATAGCTCAAATATGGATAGAGAAAATGACAGAATGATTTAGAATGAAACAAAATAGTTTTTCAATAACTAAAAAATGTATTTTCCAGAAAAAAAGACAATTGCTTACTTTGCTGCAGATTTCTGTATCAACGGTGAAATTAGATGGAAACGTATATATGCTAAAAGAAAAAAGACCATAGATAAAAAAGGTTAGGGGCCTCAGATATTTTATACATCTGTTATTTTCCCCTAATATATATATTTTTTAAATTCTGAAGTAAACTACTAATCCTTAAATCCTCATTACATCTTTATTCTTAAGGGTCTTTAAAAAGCAGTATTTACCATTCCAAATAAAGAGTTCCAAAAGGCACTCTTTAATCTATGGGAAGACCAGACATAAGGGCAGATACTTAGAGAGGCCTATAAATACTCTTATTAATAGCTTCAGTCAGGAAAAATTTTTAGAGGACAGATGCTAAGAACATTAAGAGAACAACTCCAGCATTCACACAAATTTACAGCAGAGGCTTTCCAAGGAAACTGAATTTGAGGAGATTTTTAGAAACTCATAAGCTATTCAAAAAAAATTATGAAAATAACTTCCCAATAAACTCAATAATCCCACAGAGCTACAATATAGTTGTGTTTTGAGGTTGGGGATATGGGTTAAATGACATACAAGAGCACCCAGCCTATGATTCCATGTGGCTTCAATAAGTTCCTTATGCCATGTTCAAGAACAGAACGGTAAAAAGCAGCACACTTAGGGCCACAACATTAAAGATAAGGACTTTAGAGTCTACTTAACTCTATACTATGCTTCCTTTATGCTGAAAAAAAAATGGTAGAAGGAGGCAGTTGGTGGGGCTTTCACATTTGTAATGCTGGACTAGGCTATCTGTCTATGAATAATTCCTTTGTGTATTCTTATCTCTTTTTAAAAACAACAATGTTCAAATCACACGAGTTCCTTAAGATGGCCAAATACCTGGCTCTGCTTTCATTTAACTGAAAGAAAAAAATCTAAAAACGATTTCATTCTAGCCTTAAATTTTCATTTCCTGGACACTGGAGTGTCCATAAGGATTTCTGTGACAGCATAGGAGGACAGTATAAATCTGGTAGATAAGCCTAGAAAAAGTCTTCAAACGGAAGGGGAAAAGGAAAGAGAAGTAGGTGATATACACAGGGGAAGCAAGTTACAGCAAAGTGGAGAAATATTTGTTTTACTTATTTTACTCCTTTTAGGGAGGGTGAGAGGGCATCAAGGTGGCTGATAGAGGCACCCAGCCCCAGCCTCCTCCACAAAGGAAGATCAAAATAGCAAGTAGATAATCACATGTGAAACAGAGCATCTAAAGAGAACACTGGAATTCAGCAGGGAAGTAACAGGAGGGCAACATTTTACCTTTGGGGATTTTGAATTTGTTGTCTTTCTTATACCACAGGCAACCTTGTGGAGTATTCACAATTTTAACTGGGTATTCTGTTTCCGGGCAATCGAAAGCCTTCAACGTAAAGTCCGTGGCTAATAAAAGAAGATAATAATAATTCACTCAAGTATTTCAGCAGGAGCCCCAGTAATCTGTTATTGGCTTCAGAAGTCTAAGTAACTTTTCTCTGTGGCAAAAATAAGCCAAATTCAAATGTTGGAATACATTAAATTAGTAGACCAATACCAAAGGGAAAACTATGTTGGTCTTAAAGTAAATAAATTCTAAAGATCTGGAATTTCCCAAGAACTGATTCTGGTTGCTACACATTCTGCTTCATTCCCTTTCTTACAGACAATTTTAACTGAGAGAGGAGCCTTTAGTCAGGATAGTTTCATAAACCAATTTATTAAACAATCCATTAATTCATGAGAATGCCTTTTACCAACCTTATGCTATACATTTGAAAAGTTACAAAATAGTTCTGCTCAAAGTCAAACTTGTCCTTTTGGTTAATTAAAACAACAGTTTCATTATCACATAGATGAAAAATAGCTAATTTTTAAAATTTGAGTACTTGCTATATTTAGGTAAAAGAGCTGGATTTGGTAGGCATGGTGGCTCATGCCTGTAATCCCAACACTTTAGAAGGCTGAAGCAGGAGGATCACTTGAAGCCAGGAGTTTGAGACCAGCCTGGGCAACATAGAGAGACCACATCTCTAGAAACAAATTAAAAATTAGCTGGGCATTGTGGTGCGCACCTGTAATCCCAGCTACTCAAGAGGCTGACACAGGAGGACTGCTTGAGTTCAGCAGGTCAAGGCTGCAGTGAGCCATGATCATGCCACTGCACTCCAACCTGGGCAACAGAGTAAAACCCTAACTCAGAAAACCAAAATAATAAGCTAACTGGGTTGTTTAGATTATTTACAGTTCAAGATATGAAACTGAAGTGTCTAATATAGATAATTAATACTTTTTTTTTTTTTTTTTTTGGCGTGTGTGATGGAGTTTCACTCTTGTTGCCCAGGCTGGAGTGCAATGGTGCGATCTCAACTCACTGCAACCTCGGCCTCCTGGGTTCAAGTGATTCTCCTGCCTTAGCCTCCCAAATAGCTGGGATTACAGGCATGCGCCACCACGCCTGGCTAATTTTGTATTTTTTTGGAGAGATGGGGTTTCTCCATGTTCCTCAGGCTGGTCTCAAACTCCTGACCTCAGGTGATGTGCCTGCCTTGGCCTCCCAAAGTGCTGGGATTACAGGTATGAGCCATGGCACCTGGCCAATACTTTTTTAAAAGGCTTTTTTTCCCTAATGAAAGGGAGATTCACATAACATAAACTTAGCTATTTTAAAGTGAACAATTCAGAAGCATTAATACATTCACGATGTTGTGCAACTACCACTTCTAGCTAGTTCCAAATCATTTTCATCACCCCAAAAGGAAACCCCCTACTCCTTAAGAGACTGCTCCTCATTACCCACTCACCTCAGCCCCTAGCAATCATCAATCTATGTTCTGTCTCTGGATTTATCTATTCTGAATATTTCGTATACATGGACTTATCTGTGACCTTTTGTGTCTAGCTTCTTTCACTTAGCATGATGTTTGCAAGGTTCTTCCCCATTATAGTATGTATCAGTACTACACTTTTTATGAGTAATATTGTAAAGTATGTATACATCACAATTTGTTTATACATTCATCCACTGATGGACATTTGGGCTGTTTCCATCTTTTGAGTATTGTGAACAGTGCTCTGTGAACATGAAGGTCCATGTATTTGTTTGAGTACCTGTTTTCAATTATTTTGGGTATATACTTAGACATGTAATGAATGGCTTGGAAATACAGTGTTCTGAGTAAATTACAGTTATAAGCAACTCTAAAACCTTGGACCTAGGATTGGTAGCTTTCAATGATTTTTTTCTGCAACTCACTTAGAAATATGTTTTCCACTGCAAGCTAGTAGACAGGCAGATATCTGAAACAAAAGTTCTTAAAATAACATTATTTCTACATGCAATGAAACACTTTGCTATTTTCTATTCTAACTGATTTTTTAATGCTTTCATGGCTCATTACACTGACCTTACAATCTATTACATTGACTTCACAACCTTCTAATGGGCTGCCACCTGCAGTTTGAAAAGCAATAGAAAAATCTGGCAAGATAATGGCAATCCCTAAGGAGATTGGTATGAAAGGATCAGCTACTCTATACAAGATAAAGCATAAACTTCAGAGTCCCAAGATCTGTGTTTAAATCCTGGTTTCTTATTCACCAACTGAATAGTCTTGTACCAGTCACTTTGCTTTTTTGACCCCCAGTTTTCTCATTTGGAAAAGTAAGAAAATACTAATGCCAACCTCAGAATGTTACTGGGAATCTCAAATATAAATTCCTACGATACTTTGTAAAATATAATGTGCTATACAGGTGCCTATTAGCACATGGATGGATTATGTATAAAAATTGCTATTTTACTGACCTATGTACTTGTTTTCAGCTGGAAGATGAAGATCTGGATTTAATTCGAAATTACTATTCCACAGTTCAGCCCAAGAGTTTTCAATATCTGTAAAGGAGAAAAATAAACTGACCCAATAAACAATGCAATGTTCAACATTCTCTTAATAATAAACTAGTTATCAACTGGCTTACAAATCAATTATCCTTTCTCAGGAATACTGTGACTGACACATATCCAGGCATTCTAGAATCGTGCTACTCAAAGTGTGGTCCTAGCAGCACTGGCATCACCTGGGAGATTGTCAGAAATGCAGAATCTGGCCAGGCACGGTGGCTCACACCTGTAAGCTCAACACGTTGGGAGGCTGAGGTGGGTGGATCACCTAAGATCAGGAGTTCAAGACCAGACTGACCAACATGGTGAAACCCCAGACAGATTTCTACTAAAAATACAAAATTAGCCGGGCATGGTGGCATATGCCTGTAATCCCAGCTACTTGGGAAGCAGGGACAGGAGAATTGCTTGAACCCAGGGGGCAAAAGAAGTTGCAGTGAGCCAAGATCGCACCACTGCACTCCAGCCTGAGCAACAAGAGCAAAACTCTGTCTCAAAAAAAAAAAAGAAAAGAAAAAAGAGAAATGCAGAATCTCAGGCCCTACCCAGACCCTCTGACTCAGAATCTGCATTTTAGTAAGATCTCCAAGTGACAAAAATGCACACTACATTTGAGAAGCATTCTTCTAAAACTAAGTCAAAACTCTGCCCCCAAAATACCAAGATAACAGAATTTTTTCACTAGTTAGTAAATATAAACATAGCAGAAAATAACTTCCTGTGCAGTAGTATAAGTAATTTTCATTTCAAAGTGAACTTTTTAAAAAATTATACTTTTTCCCCCTCTAGAACCATTAAATTATTAAAGAATAAACATTTCCAGGTAAGTTAAATATACCTAAATGTAAGACAATTGTTAAAATATTTTACCTTCTATACTATATTGAGTTCCAAACCATTTCTCCTTGAGGTCACATTTTCCCTCATTAGCACCAGACAGTAAAACAAGATTTGCTTTTTGAGGAACTAGCTGATTCAAGGCTTCACCAATGACCTAGTAAAGTGGGAAGAGGGGAAAGAGATACACACAATTTTAACCTAATACATCTCTGTTAAAAAGGCAAAAATCACATTGTTAGGCACCTCCAAGATCTATGCTC
Organism: Homo sapiens; assembly: GCF_000001405.40. Taxonomy (NCBI): domain Eukaryota; kingdom Metazoa; phylum Chordata; class Mammalia; order Primates; family Hominidae; genus Homo; species Homo sapiens. The sequence continues at coordinate 51,810,511 of NC_000001.11, forward strand.
ATAAAAATACCTACAGTTCATGAACACCCTAATTTACAAAGTCTCAACAGTGTTTCAAAAACTTTTTTCCTACTTTATTGAGGTATAGTTGACAAATATCAAGTATATTCTTGATAATGCTTTAAACAGTGTTTATCTTAAATCCTACATATTAACAGCATTAGCAGTAAAAATAGCTATCCTTTACTACTAAGCTTCTACTGTGAGCCAGGAAGTATTTAACATACATTATTTCATTTATTCCTAAAAACAATCCTAAGATATACTTATTTACACAAAATAACAGTCAGCTTTGGGTGATGGTTAAGTAATTTGCTCAGGTTAAAGATTATGTAACTTGTACAGAATAATACAGCTAGAAGTGGCAAAAGTGGAGTTCTAACTAAATTTGTACATGCTACCAAGGACTATGCTCCTAACAGCTATGTTTTGTATCACTTCATATCCAGGAATCAGTAAAACACTGCCAAGATAGGGCCTCCTTCAGTAATCCTCCAGCTACAATAAGGACTAAACAGAATTTTGTGGCTTGGTTTGGAGCCCTAACTACTACTTAAACACCATTTATTTAAGTATAAAACAACAAATGGTGGTTCAGAAAAAAACACAACCAGCCACTACCAGGCACAACCATCCTAGTGACATGGCAAGAATGTGTGGTTGTTCCTTCCTCCTTTACCTTTCCCTGTCCTCTTTAAAATTAATAGTTTAGGAACGTCTATGCTAAAATATCTCAAGGAATGCCCTATAATTTCTTAATCTCAGCACTATGAACATCTTGTGTCAAATAACTATGGTAGGATCCTGCCTTCTGCATTATAGGACATTGAGCAGCATCCCTGGCTTCCACCCACTGGATCCCAGGAGCACCCCACGCCCCACCCTGAGTTGTGACAACCAAAATGTCTCCGGACAGTGATAAATATCCCCTGGAAGGCAAAAGTCACCTCTGGTTGACGCGCGCTAGCCTGTATGAAACAAAATGACTTATTCTCCACTAGTGAAGGAATGACCCTGACCGACAATGTATTGGCATGTAACATTATCCCTAAGTCATATGTTTCTAATTCGGGAACCTTACATTTTTTTAATAAATATTTTCAAAATGATTAAAAATTTAATTGTCCTGACTCTCCAACTGAATTAAAAGGTAAGCTAAACAACTACGTATTTTTCACAGGGAAACCACATAATTCTTAGGAATCACTTCATCTATTGCAGTAGATGTTTCAACATTTGAAAATTATTAAAATAGGACCTAACAAGTACTGAGTTTGATTTTCTCCTTATATTAAAACTTAATTATGTAAAAGAACCATGAGAAATTATTCACAAAACTGTTGATACTTCTGTTTAAACAAACAAAAATCCTGACTAAATATAACTAAGTTTTCTTCGTTCCCATGGTTCTTAAATACATCTTCGTACTTTCTCACCCTCCTCTTCCCCTAAAAGTAAGTTTTAGACGTATAAACCTCCTTACTTCTGGCTTGTATTCAAAAAGAAGCTGATCTCCAGTGAGAATGTCCTGCAATGGGTACAGCTGCATGTTCTCACACATGTTTTCCACATACTCAACTGGATCTGTCTGTAAAGAGGTAAATTATTTCACACCAGAACTTCTCCATTATTATATTTGATTTACCACAACATACAAATACTTTCTCCCTTTCTTATTAACAATAAAACCAAAAGCTTCTGAACAGATACAACGAGATATAATTGCAGCTTAAGAATCTGATGCTCAGTAGGCTGGACATAGTGGCTCACGCCTGTAATCCCAGCATTTGGGAGACAGAGGTGGTTAGATTACTTGAGACCAGCCTGGGCAACATGGCGAAACCCTGTCTTTACAAAAAATGCAAAAATAAGCCAGGTGTGGCAGTACACGCCTGTAGTGTCAGCTCCTTGGGGAGCTGAGGTGGGAGGGATGCTTGAGCCCAGGAGGTTGAAGCTGCAGTGAGCTGAGATCGTGCCACCATACTCCAGCATGGGCAACAAAGCAAGACCCTATCTCCAAAAAAAAAAAATTCTAAGAAAATATAGCCATAGCTACTCCCTTAGGGAGCTTAAACTCATACCCTTCATGCATCACTCTGAGCCCTATAACCCATTAGGTTCTAGTCATATCACAGCCTCTTCATGAGAGCAATTACCACACTGGACTATGAATGCCTGTTTACCAGTCAAGTGCCCCACATGATTATGTGAGCAATAAAGACAGGCAACCTATCACTACAGCACTATCGTCTAAACACTATTTGTAAGCATGAATCAAATCAATGTAGAAATCAAAATGTGTTGGGCCGGGCACAGTGGCTCATGCCTGTAGTTCCAGCTATTTGGGAGGCTGAGGCAGGAGAATAGCTTGAACCTGGGAGGCGGAGGTTGCAGTGAGCCAAGATCATGCCACCGCACTCCTGCCCAGATGACAGAGCAAGACTCTGTCTCAAAAAAAAAAAAAAAAAAAAAAAATCAAAATGTGTTGACTGGGCATGGTGGCTCATGCCTGTGATCCTACCACTTTGGGAGGCCAATGAGGGAGGATAACTTGAGCCCAGTTTGAGGTAAGCCTGGGCAACACAGCAAGACCCTGTCTCTAATTAAAATTTTAAAAAAATTAAAATGTGACTGTCAGATAAAAGTCTTGCGATAAGAAGTTATATTAATAAAAATATTATTTTAATTTAAAACTGAAAGAATGACCACTTGTTCACTGATACATGAAATGGAAATATTTTTCCAGAGGAACGTAGTCAATTCAAGTATTTACCGAGCACCCAGATACACAGACTCTTAAAACTGACAGGTCCTTCAGATACCAAGTGGTTCCAGTCCCATGTTTTACAATGAGGAAACATAGTCGGATTTTTCCTGACTAGATGGCTAGATGGCTTGCCTAAGGTCACACAGTGAGTAAACGACAGGCAGAGCGGACATCAGAACTCTGACCTCATAACATATCCCATACGCTTCCCAAAACACCACACTGCCCAGTCCTTTACTAGATGCCTGGGCTCAAGCAACCTGCCTGCTCGACCTCCCAAAATGCTTGGATTACAGGCATGAGCCACAGTGCCCAGCCTGTGAGCCTATTTCAATCAAGGAAAATGCTCTCCTTCCCCTGAATTCCAAAGCACAATGTTTCTAACATTATACATGGTAAATATAAATTACCTTATAGAATGTCTTCACAATATTTGAATTCCCAAAATATTAAATACCATAACAAGTCTCCATGAATGTTTATTGAAGGGATAGATGGATGACTATGTAGATAAATGATTACCACACAACATCATCTGTGTCATCTGCTTAATCCTCTCACTGCCTTATCTTACTCAATATAAATACTCAAAAACCCAATAGTTAATTTTCAGATAGCTTCAAGGCCACCTGGAGACTCACATGACACAGAATGACAGAATTAAAACTCCACCGACACTTTCAAAAAGAGGAACAATGTCTACACCAGCTTCAACTCAGTCACAGATAACATGCAAAAAGAATTTGACTTCCAGTACCTGTTCTTGGTAATGAAATTCATTATCCTCAATTTTCCGAATCTCTTCAAAAATTCTGTGAAGGAGAAAACTATAATTAGAAGATACATTAAAATTTCTGCCTACTTGAGGGAGAAGGGCGGGAGGAGGGAGAGGATCAGAAAAGGTAACTATTGGGTAGTAGGCTTAGTACCTGGGTGACAAAATAATCTGTACAACAAACCACCGTGACACAAGTTTACCTACATAACAAACCTGCACATATACCCCTGAACCTAGAATAAAAGTTTAAAAAATTCTCAATAGAAGCATCAACAATAAAAGAGAAGCGTGAAAATAAAGGGACTGCCCACATATGTGTAAAGCCTTAGTATACAATCACATGTAGAGGGATAAGGATATGGAGTCAATAAAGGAAATAGAGCAGAAAATGCCTGAAAAACCATCAAGGCAAGACTAAAGCATGTCTACCGGCAGCCTGAAGCCTCAAATATACCAGGACTGGCTCCTGGCCTCATTCCAGGAAGTGTTTATTACCTTTTTTCTGGGCCTAGCTTCTGCAGCATTTTTAAATACTGAAAGACAGTGTAAGCAACCTGAAAACAAAACATCCAATTAGTCTTTTGCATAAAGTGATATCTACGTAAAAGGAAAAAACAACTGAATTTGAATTATTTACCTCATAAAAATGTTCATAACCCTCATCAGTCAATGTAATAGAAATGCTGAACACTGAATAAGTAGAATTTTGCTCAAATCCTGTCTCACCATTTCCACCAAACAGTGCAAGAGCCCAGCATCTACAGGTGGGGAAAAAATTAACCCAATCAATGTTCCTGGATTGACAGTCTACAGACATTCAAATTAACAAAATATAGAGGCTTTCTATGTAAAATGTGGAAATCTCAGCCTTTGAATGTAAACATATACTTTCCAACAGTAAATCTAAAAGTGCAAATTTTAAAAGCACAAAGCCTCCCAAGGAATTGTGGTACATTTAGGAATCACCAGAAGGAAATAACAGTCTTTGTTTAATGCAAATACGAATAGATATGGCACCATAATAAAACATTAACAGTTTTATTAAGCCAAAACCATTCCTTTTGAAGAGAACAGCACAAAATATTCAAATGATGGCTGCTGGAAAGCATTTTGCTTACCTTTTTTTCTTTTTTTTTTTTTTTTTTTTTAATAAAGACAGGGTCTTACAATGTTGCCCAGTCTGGTCTCGAACTCCTGGGCTCAAGCAATCCTCCACCTCGGCCTCCCAAGTGCTGGAATTACAGGCGTGAGCCACCGCGCCTGGCCTCACCATTTTTGAACCTGTCTCCTAGGAGAAGCCTTAAGACACTTCTAAAACATACTTACATTGAATGTCAAGTGAGTTCTTTGAGGCTGTCAGCTAACCTACATAGGTTGTCTAAGAAAGAAATAATGAGACTATACCTTTCCCTGACTAGATTAATTCTGAAAAATTAAAAAGAGAGGACACCAGAATAGAGTCTGAAATTCTAATAAAGCTCAGTAAGGTAGAAAGGTTGTGCACAGCTCAAAGCATATAACATATATTGTGTAAGGTACATATGAACCCAATATCATTAGTTTATTATTTTATAGTTAACTCTCCCCTCTTAGTTTTCTTTGAATGTTCTAGTACACGAAAGTGTCTTAAAAATACTTATTTAAATGTCTCATCTATCCTTCCATTCTCATACTATTCATTTATAGAAAAATCAAACAAGGAATTACTTTAATATATTAGTCTTGATTCTAAAATTGTATTTCTATTATTTGGCTATAGGTGACTTAAACAGGTGCTTTAATGCTTAGGAAACATTCTGCTAACATGGCTGCATATACCATTTGCAGTCCCACCTATTAACTATGATTTACCTACCCAATGAAGTTTTCATTAAAGTCTAGCCTTGGGGGTTAGGAAAGCCTGGAGATCCATGGCATTTAAATAATTGATTTCTTTACCATTCAGTCAAATATAAATTCTTGATTAGAGCTAATTCTTTTATGTAATTCTGGAATCTATTAATTTCATTTATGATTTTTTAAAATTTTGTGTACAAATAACTTCCAACAATGGGCTAAAAGGTGGCTTACAAGGAAATACACAAATATAATATGGCCATTAAAATAATGTAAGTTATTAAAATAACTATAATTAAGCATTAAATTTTATTCTAGGCTTCCTGGCAGCTAAAGTAAAAGAATGCATTATATAATACTTATTGTCTACTATTTTTCAGAGATTGCTATACTGAAAATACTTATTAATTGAATACTTGCTTTTTCCTAAGGAAAGAAAGAATGCTGCCTTTGCCTTCATGTCCAACCAGCCAGGATATATAATGAAGTGGCTTCACCCTTTTAAAAAAATTTAATGGTCAGAAGAAAAAAACAAAAGGTATAAATACACCAGAAAATCTTACCTCTAAGGCTACAATAATTGAAAATATAATCACAAACTTATTCTCACATATGTCCACTAAACATGAAATTATAATTAATTTAGTAGCAGGAAGATAAAAACAGAAAATATAGTAAAATTAACTCTTTCATTTGAGATTACTGAAGAGTACAATCATCCCAAAATTTAAGGGCACTACTTTTTCTCTTGGACACCAAACTTATCTGCTCTCATGATAAATCTTTTTGCTTCACCCAATATGAAATGTAGATTCCTTATCAGTCTAGAACCTAATATAGGTATGAATTACTGTCTGTAAAAGCTTTTGGTACCACATTGGGTTCTGTGGTAAAATGAAATGTGTTGTTCAGAGGGTCAGAAAATCTTGGTTCTAGTTTTAGTTTTTCCTTTAAGTAAATCATGACCTTGAGCAAGATACTTAACCGTATTCTTCTTTTTCTCTTCACTTGCCCAACTACTTACTCACAGAGTTTTCATGAAAATGCAATAACAAGTATAAAAATGCTTTATCACATACTAATAATGTAATAGTCCGAGTAATTGTGCACATGCTGTTCAAACTGTCTTTCCCCCTGGCCTCTACTGTAATTTTGTTAAAGTATTCCTACCACAAAGACATACAGAAAAAAATTGAGTTTTCTGTATATTTCTGTATATATGAGAAAATTTAATTAGGTTACACAGTTAAATTCAGTAAATTCTTGAATGTCAAGATATGATTTTCAACTATGTTAGGCAATCCTTAAAGCCCATACAACCTTGTTTAAAATATGAATTTGGCTGGGCACAGTGGCTCATGTCTGTAATCCCAGCACTTTGGGAGGCCAAGGTGAGTGGACTGCTTGAGCCCCACCCCCCCTCCCAAAAAAGTTAAATTTTTATCAGTTGATTAGCATTTATTTCTAACTGGAAAAGCATTTGTAGGCATTGACTGATCCTTAACTTAAATAATTCTCTGGCCCATGCTACACTGCTCATATAAGATAACTATACAGACAAGTAGAACTCCTTTCCCAATCTGCATAAACCTGCCCTAATTCAGAGGAGTAAATCCTTGGGATTTATGTACCCTAGTCATATTACCAATCCAAATTATTATTATTTTGAGACAGAGTCTTGCTTTGTCAACCCAGGCTGGAGTGCAGTGGCGCAATATCAACTCACTGCAACCTCCACCTCTCAGCTTCAAACAATTCTCGTGCCTCAGCCACCTGAGTAGCTGGGATTACAGGTGTGTGCCACCACGCCTTGGCTAGTTTTTTGATATTTTTAGTCGAGACAGGGTTTCGCTATGTTGGCCAGTCTGCCAGGCCCAAATTATTTAACTTTATTTTTGACAAGATCGAAACAAATTACAAAAGTTAGCATTCACACTAAACACTTAATTTCAAAGACTTAAGAAAGGCCACTATAACTGAGAAAGCTCTAGTTTTTATATCCAAAAAATAGTAAAATACATAGCAAGGCTTGAAAGCTCCCGGAGTAATCAAGTTCCAGGTTACCGTATTGCTATGTTTATAAATTCAGAACCCCCAAACTTAAACCATTTAGCATGCTTTAAAAATTACTCTCACTTGGTTCTAATGAAGTAAATTTTCCCTTAAACTCTTACCTGTAATGTTGCTGTTGAGGAGGAAGTGCCCATGTGATGGTCAGAGCATGAATTTTTCTGATTGGAACAACTAAACAAAAATATTTTCCAGAAGAACAGATGTAAGTGTTTCTCTATGACTTTTACTACAAGAATGTTTAAAATTCAATATATTTATCCTCCAATAAACAAGGAAAGGTTAAGTACAATGCAGTTATTGTTTCAACTTGCCAATTTTCCAACTCGAATAATGCAATTTTTGTAAATTTCTTTTTTATTTGGTTTCAGAGGTAGAGAAAGCAGGGATAAAAGAACTATGAGGATATGAAATGCTGCTGTGTATGGATCTCTTCTTGCAAGAAAGGATACAAAACTAGGAGTCAGGAGACCCATGGCTGAAATTCAGTCCTACCACTATCTTGCTATATGTGCTTACATGACCTGAGAAAATCACTTGCATTTAAATCTTTTTGAATCTGTTTACTCATAGTAAAATGAGTTAGTTGGGTTAAAGTATCTCTAGGATTCTTCTCAATGCTATTATTCTATGAAGAGGAAACCTAAAACCAGAAAGAATACAATAAAAAGTAAGTTGTCTCTGGAAAGAGTTAGTTTAATATTAACAGAATGGAGCCAGCAGCAGAAGCGTGTAACAAAACAGTCACTGATTAGGGGAAAGCAAAAGAGACTGGTAACGGGGTGAAGAAGGAGGGAATACCTAAGGCAATTAGTAAAAACAGAAAAAAAAATCTGCCGTGATAGAATAAAGAGAGATGGTGAATTAAGAATGTTTCTGCAATATTCACTGTAGGCAAATTGTTAAGTAAATTATAATGTAATCACACAACTCATTATGTAGTTATTACAGGTATACTATTAAATGAAACAAAGCAGGAGACAGAATTATATATATACTTTATAATCTCGACTTTGTTAAGAAAATATACCTATTAGAAAATCAGAAAGAAATCTGGAGGCCGGGCGTGGTGGCTCATGCCTGTAATCCCAACACTGTGGGAGGCGAAGGCAGGCGGATCACTTGAGGCCAGGAGTTCGAGACCAGCCTGGCCAATGTGGTGAAACCCTGTCTCTACTAAAAACACAAAAATCAGCTGGGCATAGTGGTGAGTGCCTGTAATCACTGCCACTCAGCAGGCTGAGGCAGGAGAATCGCTTGAACCTGGGAGGCGAAGCAGTGAGCTGAGATCATGCCATTGTACTCCAGCCTGGGCAACAGAGCGAGACTCTGTCTCCAAAAAAAAAAAAAAGAAATCCGATACAAATGACTTCTCTTCATGGTAAGATTTAAGGGTGATTTATCTCCCATTTCTTGACATTTTATATTTTTATTTAGCAAATATTACTTTCACAATGAATTTAAAAGGAAACGATTGCCAAAGTGTTTTCCCTCTCATCTATTTTTATTCATTTAAAGGCAAAAGAGCAGAATATAAATAAAATGAAACATGAATGAAAATTTAACAAAACAGAGAACAAAAGGGAAGAAAGGTAAAACAAGGAGAAAGCATGAAATAGACTGAAGTAGCAGCAGGGCACCAGAATCAATCGATCTGCAGCTAGTCAGTGGTCTGCTATCTATTATTAATTAGATCTCCATTGCCCATCTACTTCCTTTCCAACCCAGCTGTATTTTCTGTTGTGTTCTCATTTTCAATGAAAATTGGCAGCTTCAATTAGGTTATAGAGAATGTGCTAACATTATTTCAAACAGTTTTAAACTTTTGGTTCACAAACCTCTATAAAGTTTGTTAAATGCTGGTGTGTCAAATGGATCCGTTAAATGGCCAAAGTTTGGTCTGGGTAACCCACTGAAAATAAAACAAATACATACAAATTTAACTGGCAAAAGCCTTTATAAGCAATATCTTTAGGGATATCTAACTGAGAGATATTTATAATCTATTCTACATACTCCTTCTTGGAAAGCATTCCAGGCATGAACAAATAGATGGCAACACAGCCACAAAATCTTCAGTTACACAATCTGTTCTTAGCCTCAGCCCAATAACTCAAAAGTCTTTACAACTCAAGAGATAGAGAATGAATTTAAAGGACCCCCTCTCACCCCAATATTTACTGACTCTATCAGCCTCATTTAATTTCAGTTCTCCTCCTAGACAAAGCCATTCCAGAAAGAAACAAACTAGAGATAATACTTTTTTAAAATCAACGATTATACATGAAGTGAATATTAGGTATAAAGCACTATATTAGGCACTGTGGTATTTAAAAGACTTGGTCCCTCCTAGGGGCTTCTACTCTGGTTGAAGATATTGTAACTTTAATATTTCTTCCAAAACACAGTTGATGCAAATTAGTATTAAATGCCTCAAAGAATTTTTAACCTGTCTAATTAAGGAACCAAAGTTATTAGTGAATAATATATGAGATTTTTTTTAATGCTCATCAGGGATTGACAGAACCTAATGAATTCCTCTATTAAACACACCTCTGATTTTATTAAAGTTTCACATTTGATATTTCCATAGTTCACACTCAAGACTTCTAATCAGAAAAAACAGCCCCACAAATTTGTCATGCTCTTGATTACCTTTACATACCAAAAAGCACTGCTAATTATCAATGGAAATTCATATAAAGCCAAATTAATAATAACCAATCAGTTGTCATTATAAGTTATTCTAACATTTTATGCTGGTTTCTAATTATGTATTAGAAGACTAATTGGGAAAATCCACAGGTTACCCATCTGATGCAAGAAAAAATATCTGTTTTCATTAATTTTGTTAAAATGCAAACTACTAAGTACAGGAAGAAAGATTTCATTGCTTCAGAATTAAATTTTTTGTAAACTTTGTAACAAAAAGGTAGCAGTAATGTATCTTTTAAATATTTGTACTATTTTGATGAATTTGAGGTGGAGAAAAAATGTTTAAATCATCCTGAACTGAAACTCGACATACAATTTCTTATAAAAGAACATCTGGTTTGACTATATGAAGTAAGTTTTTCAGGCAGTATGGAAAGTCAGCCATCATCTAAAAGATTACTTCTTTTATGGGGAAAACCAGTGCAATATCCAAACAACTGACTTAAAAAAAACAAATTTTCAGAACACAATTTGTCCCAATACGGGGGATGTAAGTGTGCATATTCTTCTGCCTCTCATATAGTATTTTCTTTCGTATCACAGAAAAGCTCTAAATAAATGTAAAAGGAGGCATAAATTTTTCAGAATTATTGCTTACTATATACATTTACAAGCCTGTAAATTTTGAACTATGGAAACTTGGCTTGTCATCTTAGTTTACCCACTCAAAAGCTGTGTGATCTTGACAGTCATTAAGTTTGTTTAGGTCTTAATTCTATCACCTGTGTAAAAATAAAAAAGCAAAAAACCTTTGGGACTCATACAAGATAATGGTCTCTTTAACTCTGAAGGTGTATGATGTATGAAAATAAATATCTTACTTGTTTGGTATCTGAGAGAAGATTTCAGTCACCCACTTTTCCAAAGTATCCAGTGTTTCTTGAGAGGGGAGGGCAGGGAAGAGACAGGAAAATGCAATGACATTATTCAAGGTAGAAATGCAATTAGATTTCTCAGAGATCTTTAGCTAAAAAACAAAGGGATATTTTAATTTGGCCATTACTTGCCACTCCTGAACCAGTAATGGATGAACAGGAAAAATAACAGTAGAAAAGAAAACCTTACGACACACAGAATTTTGTGAGACCCCTTTATTTCTCCCTGGTAAAGTCAGAAAAGGCACACAAGTTTAACAAAAAAATATATCTTTAGCATTAGGCTAGTGTGAAGGACCAAGAGATAAGATTATGCCAACCATCCTACGCCCATTCTAAAACTTACATCCTCTTGGAAGGTTTTTCCGTACTAACCCATATTACATTAACCTCTCCTTTTTGCCATCTCATCAGTACTTTTATATTCCACTTGTTTTACATTAATGTACACTTGCTGAGGTTTTAACTCATAGGTCTTCTTTTTAGGCTTTATATATATATATATCATACATATATATGATTTATGTTTTCCTTTGATTCACTTCTTATATTTAGTAAGAAATTCTTTGGAAATTTATAGTAAAAAACAGATCTAAACGAAAAAGGAAACTTTTTGCTTTATCTGAGTGACCATCATTGAAGAGTATTTGTTAGTTCTACCAGGCACATGAATTTCACTAATTCTCAATAGAGAACCCCATTATATAAAACCTGGGATTCAGACTAATCATTTCTGAATTTATATTATTTATATAGATGTTTGACTCTTAAATGGTATAATTAATGCTAAAAATCTAAATCCTATGAAATCTACATTGTACATAGTTTTCATCAAAACTCTAGCCTAGGCACAGTGGCTGGGGCCTGTAATCCCAGCTATCTCAGAGGCAGAGGCAGGAGGATCACCTGAGCCCAGGCATTTGAGGTTACAATGAGCTATGATTGTGCCACTGCACTGTAGCCTGAATGACAGAGCAAAACCCTGTCTTGCTAAAAAACAAAAACTCTAGGACTTGTTTTAAAATTTTGAAATAAGCATTAATAAGCTCTTATATCTGCCATCATAGAGGAAGAGAATACAAAAGAAACAGAATAACTAGTTCAAGAAAAACACATGGAATTATTTGCAAACACAATAATCAAAAATTGTGAATTAACTTGGGGAATACCAAATATGGAATTGCCTAATTTAGCAAATGTAAAAGGAACCTAAAAGCAATTTGAACAGAAGAATCTACCATACCACGAAACTTTACCTTCAAGTCAACTTTAGTGAACTCATTTTGATCATAAATGCGAAAATGTTTTACATCTAAGAGCCAAGTCAGATTTGATCTTAATTTTGACAATGTAAAAAGCAAAACTTTATAAAAAGGGGAATCACATTAGGGTGAGAGGATTAGCATTTCAAATAGAAATGTGCAAACTATAAGGTATGTTAAAAGGAATAATTTAGCAATTTACTAACTTTGAAAAACAAGTAGGTTGAAATGTAAAGAAAACAAAAGAAAGCTTCCATGATTTCCTTAATGAGAAAAAGTGAATGTGAGTTACTGAAGACAATGATAAAAGAAGGAAAATAGAGATATTCATCAGTCTTTACATTTAAGATAGTTCTGCCATAGAGGTATTCATCAGTATTTTATATTTAAGATAATTCTTAAATTGTCACCATGTCAATCTCAATTAATCATGCCATTTTTACAGGACCTTATGTAAGAATGAACAAACCAACACTTTGCCCTGTAAGAGTTTGTAATCGATATAGAGTAAATGTAAAACCACAGATACAATTGCAGCTGAAGGTGGCTTAAAAGATCAATTCATGACCTATTAGAATATTAGTACATTCACAGACCAGCCTACATATCTTATCTTACAGATAAGACCTATTTCTGTAAGAGAAAAAAATTTGCCTGAGAATCTCATCATCTTGTGTTTCCCTGAGCTTTGCCACTAGCTACGTGACATCTCCAAGTTCTGATTTCCTTTACTTTGTATTAAGGTCAAGCACTAAAGTAATTAATAGTACACTACAACACTGATACAGGCAAACAAATCCTAAGAAAGCGCTACTTCAAGGTAACTCTAAGAGCCATAATTAATAGTTACCTTTGGATTGAACCACTAAAGTCATGTAATGAGAAGAGTAGTAACGCATCCAGAATTCTCTCAATCTAGCATGTGTATCAATATTATTCTTTCTTGGCTCATGCTTGAGCGTCTCAGCATTTCCTATAAAAGAATGAAAAAAATTATAGATATAACTAAGTTAACTTTGTTAAAAGTCTTCTACATCATCAATGCATATTTTGCTACCATACATGATTAATGAAATAACCCAAGGGACTCAAGAATATTGAACCAGTGTGCAATAATGTATTAATATTAATAAGACAAAAATGCATAAGAAACAATTCTGAAGTATATTTTAATATCCAAGGAATTAATCTCTGGGAAAACCTTAAAAAAACAGACAATAACTCCCTAAGCTTCCTTGCTTAATAATTAGTCTAGCAGTATTCAATCCAGGTTCTTTCTAATTATTTTAATAATATTTTTGCCTAATTCTTTTTTTTTTTTTTTTTTTAAAGACGGAGTTTCGCTCTTGTCGCCCAGGCTGGAGTGCAATAGCACGATCTTAGCTCATGGCAACCTCCACCTCCTGGGTTCAAGCGATTCTCCTGCCTCAGCATCCCAAGTAGCTGGGACTACAGGCATGAGCCACCACACCCAGCTAATTTTTGTATTTTCAGTAGAGACGGGGTTTCACCATCTTGGCCAGGCTGGTCTCAAACTCCTGACCTCATGATCCACCCGCCTCGGCCTCCCAAAGTGCTGGGATTACAGGCGTGAGCCACCGCGCCCGGCTATCTAATTCTTAAAAATAAAACACATGAAGCAAGAATGCCCTATAAAATGTATATAACTGTACAGAAATATACAGGGAAACAAAACACCCTTTAAAGAATAATTCAGATCATCTCATCCTAAATTTTACTCTATAGTCAACAGGATTAATATGAGGCTGTAACTAAATCCTCCCACTAAGAAAATGCCATTATGAAAAACAGACACCAGTTAAACAGTTTACTAGATGAACAAAATTAAGTCGCAGTTCAAAAACTCTTACAGAAACTATTGCTAACTCTGTTGACAAATGGAAATGTCAGGCTGAGGTAGAGCACAGACTTTATAATCAGATAAACAGATGTTCAAATCTCACATCCACCACTTACTATCTGTGTGATTTAAACAAATGAGATAACTTGACTGAAATTTAAAATAGAGATGGGGTCTCACTATGTTGCCAAGGCTGGTTTTGAACTGGTCTCAAGTGATTCTCCCACCTCAGCCTCCCAAAGCATTGGGATTACAGGTGTGAACCACCACGCCTGGCCTAAACCTGTTTATCTTTAAATGGAGATGATAATGGTACCTATCTCTGAACATTGTGATAATGATCAAATGAAATAATTCATGTAGTGTTAGCACAGTATCTGGCACTTAAAAAGCATTCACAAAATGTTAGGTGTTACTCTTGCTATATTCACTGTTAGAGAACCAAATAGAGGCATATTTAACAACTTCGCGTTTGAAAGGCTAACTAGCTATCCTAAAAGGTAAAAGGTACCTAGGGACTCTAGCTTTATAATTTTCAATTCTTTATCAACTTTTCTTATTCTAAATCTTAACTAGAAAATATGAAATAAGATGATGTATTTAGTATCTTACCCCAAAAAAATTTTCCCATAGGATGTCCAGGTCTAGCAAGGCTTCCAAACAACATTTCCTTTCTGTTTGCATCAGAAGGCCTTGCAAGTTGATATTCTGTCAATTTTAAATAAACACATAATAAAACAAAATTCAGTATCTCCTTTATTATATGGAAATTCAAACTTACAGAACAGAAAGCAAGGAATTAACAAAATTAACTTCATGAATCACGTGTTATAAGACTGAAGTGGGAAACTCAATGATCCAGGCCTGGCTCTATGACTTAATATGACCTGTAATTTTGGGTAAATCAATTCAGCTTACCAGAGTCTTACTCTTATTTTTCAAATGAAACACAAGGTAGTTAATAATCTGAAAGTTTCAGCTCTAGGATGCTATGTACAAGATTTTACTGATGAAAATGCTAATAAAATATTAATCCTTTTATCTGGGAATTTGGTCATATATATTGTTTAAATTTCTTCCAAAACCAACTATGTTGGTAATAAAGTATGATGGCTAAGAACAATCCACTTTGAAGTCAGAAATACCTTTAGCTACCGCTAAAGACTGAATGTTTGTGTCCCCCCACCCAAAATTTCTATGTTGAAACTTAATCCCCAATGTGATGGTATTTGGAGGTAGGGGCCAATGAGAAATGATTAGGTAATGAGGGCAGAGCCCTCATGAATGGATTAGTCCCTTGTAAAAGAGACCTCAGAGTGCTCCCTTGCCCCTTCTGCTGTATGAGGACAAAGAGTGAAGGCAGTTTTCTATGAACCAGAGAGCAGGCTGTCACCAGACACCAAATCTGCCAGTTCTTTGATCTTGGACTTCTCAGCCTCCAAAACTGTAAGAAACAATTCTGTGGTTTATAAGCCACCCGGTCTGTGGGATTCCATTATGGCAGCCCAAATGGACTAAAAACCGCTAGAACTGCAGTTCTGACACTAAGCTCAACAACCTTGAGGAAGTTATCTAACGTACCTGATTCCATTCCTCCAAAACTGTAAGAAAATAAATGTTTTATTTTAAGCCACCATGTTTCTGCAATAACAGGTAATATAGCAGACATGTAAACATATCTACGAAAAGTGATTTAAGACCCCTTGCAACTGATAAAAATAGAGTATAAATATCTGAACACTTAGAGACCATATTTGGAAAGGAAACAAACATTAAAAATGAAGAAGTAAGTAAATAAAAATAGAGACTGCACTTTGACACATAATTAAGATTTAAAAAGGCATTGGACATGCCTTTCATCTCAATCACTAAGACATACTATGCAGGC